>NC_000021.9:5966593-6161371 GCF_000001405.40 Homo sapiens
GATCTGTTGGTGGTTCCCTCGGCTTTGGACCTAGTCGCTCTGATTCAGCCCTCTCTCTCCCCGCTGTTTTGTTAGACTGATCTTTCACAGTCGGATTACACCACTGACATCCCCACTGAAAACCGGAAGGGGCTCTGGTCAGGGTCCATGATCTGACCTCCTCTGGCCTCAACCCTGGGCATCCTCATCACCGTGTCCCTCTGTTCACACTCCTCACATTGCCTTGTTGGGTTTGGACTCAGAAAGGTGAGAGCTTTTCAGGAGAGAAACAGACTCAAAATGTGAATCTGAGAGAGCTCTATTTTGAGCTATGATATGAAGCAGAATTGATTCCATCTTCAGGGTAGAGCATGAGGGTGGCAGTGAATAGAGGGGCTGAGCCGCCGCACACTCCCCCTGGCCTATAGAAAGGGAAGGCAGAGTTGCTGAGGGGTTCGGAGTTGCTTGGTGAAGGGAGAGCCTGGAAAAGGAGCAGAAAACAAGACCAAGAGGCTGAGGACTGAGTAGAGGCCCCGAGAGCCAGTGTCCAGATGTCTGGGCTCCTTGAAGAAAGCAGAACCAGTAGCATTGTGGTGCTAGAAGCCATATTGAAGGAAGGCTAGGGATGACAAGCACGGAGGGAGGGCCCCACGAGGTATGCAGTGGCAGCAGGTAGGAGTGAAATGACACAGTGTCAGGGCAAAGCTGCGTGGACAGAGGGCGGAGGGGCTGTCCAGGAGTGAGTCAAAGCAGAGGGGCTTCCACAGAGTGCTGTGGAGGGGAGAGGCTTCGTGGACTTTGTGGGGACAGCATTTGTATCTGGGTACCTCTGGAGGATTTCTGATCTAATTTGCGATGAAGAGAATGCTTATATGTCTTTGTTTTAAATATACACAAATAATTCAGTATACATGACTAATGGCATATGTACATATATTTAAAGTAAGGGACGTAAGTATTGCTTTGTCCCACATTGTGTTATCACAATAAACAAAAACATATTTGCTGACACAAACTCTAATATTTAAAACGTATTCTCCATAAACTGAACTTCCCAGAAAACCAAACCAAAAGGTAATTCTTGAAAAGGTAATTCTTTCAGGCCATAAGTATGTGATAATCTGCATGGCCAAAGGAAGCAGAGTAGCCAATGAGAGCCCTAATAGTTATTATTACATTTGTACTTGTTTTACATGTATTATACAATGTGCTGTATAAAACTCTTTGAGATGGATGTACTTTGTATTATATTGACAAGGAAACAGGCTCAGAGAATGTGAAAGATTTACTTGCCAAGGCCAGTCAGTTAGGCAGTACCCCATTTGGCATTCATATCCTGGCCCCTGACTATAAACCCTCTACCTCAGCTTGTGTGTTTTCTCCTGTGCCATGCCGAATTTATAAATTAAACCTACGTTTAATTTGAAACGTAAAAATTATGTGTTGCCTTCATTTTAATAGATGAGGAATTCTGAGAATTCTGTTTGCCAGTGGTATTTCTGTTATGGTTACTGACATCTGCTTATTTTAATGTATTTTGACATGTGTGGAAGTGGGACTAATCTGGTTGTGATTCAGGCTCTGCATATGTATCAGAGCTGACCCATCTGCCATGCAAGTATATTTTAGAAAAGGAGCAAATTCCTGGCTGGGCCAAGTAACACCTTTTCCACTTCTCCTCTGTGTGTGATCTGTTGTCTACAGTATCATGTTGAAAAAGTTGAGAAGCGATTTTGGAAAGAGAGAAGTGAGGAATCTGTTGCCAGAGTGTAATTGAGAAACAGATGAGCTAATGGAAGAAGCCAAGATGTTACATTCCATTATAAGGGAGTTGTAATTTACTGTGAAGGTTGAGGGAATAGCATCTTTTTGGAAAGAAAAAAGTCAGAAATATAAAATAGCCTACTATATAAAGTTTTATGACTCCATCTCATAATCATTTAAATGGGTAGATACTTTATGTTCCTATACCTTCAAAATCCAGCTTGAAACCACCTTCCAGAGGGCCTTTCCAGATTTCACGTCCTCAAGTCTGATCATTCCTTCTTCTGTATCCCATGGTGAATATTACAAATAGAGTCATAGTTGTACCTTCTGAAACTGTTTCATTGTAAAATCCCTTGCTGGGTGTGGTAGCTCATGCTTGTAATCCCAGCACTTTGAGAGGGCGATGCAGGTGGATCACCTGAGGTCAGGAGTTCGAGACCAGCCTGGCCAACATGGTGAAACCCTGTCTCTACTAAAAATACAAAAATTAGCTGGGTGTGGTGGCGAGCGCCTGTAGTCCCAGCTACTCAGGAGGCTGAGGCAGGAGAATCGCTTGAACCTGGGATGTGGAGGTTGCAGTGAGCCAAGATCACACCACTGCACTCCAGCCTGGGGACAGAGGGAGACTTGGTCTCAAAAAAAAAAAAAAAAAAAAGAAAAAAAAAGAAAAATCCCTAACTAGGTAAGAAAGTAAGGACTTGGTAAGAGAGCAGTTGTGTTTCTTTTTTGTCTTCCACAGAATACAGTGAGGGAGCTTTGTGTCCCCTCTTCAGACAATGCTGCCGAGCCAGCGTGCTGAACCTGCCCTGGCTGGGGATGGTGCCGTGGGAGGGTGCGCTTCAGCTTGGAGTACACTCATGAGAGTTAGTCTGCAGGGAGTGGGCCGGCCTGTTTATTACCATTGTTGTTGAGCTCCCAGCACTCGGGTGGGTCAGAATGCAGGGAGTGGACCAGCCCCATTTGTTATAGTTGTCAGGCTCAGGAGTGAGCAAGACAGAGTTCTTTCCCTATGGAACTTATATTCAGGTGAGGAGACTTGATAGTAAACAAATATAATGGCATATATCATATAGTAATGCAAATAAAAATGGAGTGGCATGAGGAGCAGGCTAGAGAGTGTTGGGCGGAGCTGCTCTTTTGGGTATTTGAGTGGATACCTGAAGGAAGCGAAGGACAGCCTGTGCTGAGATCTTTGAGCAGAGCATCACAGGCCAAGGGTGGCAGGGGAAGGGTCTGAGGCAGCTATGGGCAAAGGAGTATTGTAGGAGTGACTAAAGGCCAGTGTCGCTGGAGAGGATAAGAAGGGAATGTTAGGAGTCGGGGCCAGAGGAACAGCTGGTGCTGGGAATCATCATAGTGTAGAAGGTATTTGTAGCCATGGTAGGGGACTGCATTGCTGAGGGAGTGATATAGGGCTGAGGATGAAGCTGTGGGGCCAGCATTTTCAGTGCAGATGAAGATGATGAGGGAGCACAGAACAGCCAGGTGAGGTCGGAGGAAAGCCGGGAAGATGCAGTGTCCTCCAGGGCTAAATGGAAACAGTGTTTCCACATGCAGCTGGGGACTGTCCTGTGCTACTGAGCTGGGCAGGTAAGCCTACAGGCGGGCGGGTGAGAGGGCCCAGCTGTGTGAGTGGGGCTTGGGGGAGCCACTTGGTCTCTTCACCATCATTAGTGGCTCATAAATGAAGCTCACAGTAGCCAGCATGACTTTTATTTTTTATTTTATTTATTTTTTTGAGACGGAGTCTCACTCTGTTGCCCAGGCTGGAGTGCAGTGGTGCGATCTCGGCTCACTGCAACCTCCACCTCCTGGGTTGAAGTGATTCTGCTGCCTCAGCCTCCTGAGTAGTTAGGACTATAGGCATGTGTCACCATGCCCAGCAAATTTTTTTGTATTTTTAGTAGAGACAGGGTTTCAGCATGTTGGCCAGGCTGGTCTCGAACTCCTGACCTCCTGGCCTCCCAAAGCGCTGGGATTACAGGCATGAGTCACCACACCTGGCCACCAACGTGACTTTTAAGACACTCTCAGTCTTAGAATCCTGATTGGGAGGTGGCGTCAGAATCTCAGATGGTAACACTGATGTTTGTGTGTGGCTCACAGATTGAAGGTAATTCTAGGAGGAGTTCCAAAAATGTTCTGAACAATGACAGTATTTTGAGGATGAAGACATAACACCTCATCACACACACAGCTGAGTGCCTTGAAGGGGAGAGCAAACTTTGGGTTTCTGTGAGTTCTGGTACTCTGGTGAAAGGGTAGTGCCCTGGAGACCTCCTGGGCTGTTTCCATTTCAGATGTTGGTCATAGGGCAGGACTCTGTGGAAGGGATAGGCAGTTTTCACAGCAAGGGAGGAACAGCTGCCAGCCCACACTCTCTTCTGCCATATTGAATTATTGAGGGAGAGACCAGTTTTCTTCTGGATGGTTTTTTTTTGTTTAGCAGATTCTTGATGAATATTTGATTTTGGTGGAGAGAAGTTTTCTTCTGTGGAGGACTTTTCAGTTTATTATTACTTGTTCTCTTCATTCTCCTTAGTTCCACACAATGGCAGCTACCTATTCTTTTTTTTTTTTTTTTTTTTTGAGAAGTTTGGCTGGAATTCTTTTTGTAATCTCTAAATTGTTTTTTAAGAATTAGCTAGATAATTTTTCTCCAGGGAAGGGATTCTTTTGTTTTACATAAGCATATCTTAATAGATATGATTTTAACAATCAAATTATGTTCTAATTGTAACTTAACGGATCTTATGGTCAGTACTTTTGTCGATTTGCCTTGAAATTGATCTGTTTTTATCAAAGGCCCTTTTTATAGTTTAAATGTTCTCCAAGAACAGGCTGAAAGCACACCTGCCCTCCCATTTCCCATGCTTGTGTGTCAAGGATTGTTGTCAATTTCCACAGGCATGTTGCCTTTTTGTGTTAGTTTCACTGTTTGTCAGCCCTTTTAGATAAGACAGGGCAAGGCATTGAACCCTCCAGAACTCGTTCCCCTCATTGCAGATGGCAGCAGTAAGACCACTGCACTTGGGTGAGGGTCACTCATAAAAAGGGCAGAAGTAAACATCACCTATGAAAGTATTGTTCTTATATGATAGCACTAAATGTACTCAAATTGCTACTTTAATACAAAGGTTCCTATGGCAATATTAAATGTGAATCTGATCTGTTTTAATGTTTAAAGCTCAATAACTCTCCTTGGTTAGAGAATCAGATAATTAGTTTTGGTTGGTGATATGGTTTGGCCCTGTGTCCCCCCCCCCTCCCCATATCTCATCTTGTAGCTCCCATAATTCCCATGTGTTGTGGGAGGGAACCGGTGGGAGATTATTGAATCATGGGGATGAATCTTTCCTGTGCTGTTCTCATGATAGTGAATAAGTCTCACGAGGTCTGACGGTTTTAAAAATGGGAGTTTCCCTGCACAAGATCTCTCTTTGCCTGCTGCCATTCATGTAAGATGTGACTTGCTCCTCCTTACCTCCTGCCATGATTGTGAGGCCTTCCCACCCATGTGGAACTGTAAGTCTATTAAACCTCTTTTTCTTCCCAGTCTTGGATATGTCTTTATCAGCAGCGTGAAAATGGACTAATACAGTAAATTGGTACCAGGAGTGGGTTGTGCGGAAAAGATACCCAAAAATGTGGAAGTGACTTTGGAACTGGGTTACAGGCAGATGTTGGAACAGTTTGGAGGGCTCAGAAGAAGAGAGGAAAATGAGGGAAAGTGTGGAACTTCCTAGAGACTTGGTGAATGGCTTTGACCAAAATGCTGATAATGATATGGACAATAAAGTCCAGGCTGAGGTGGTCTCAGACAGAGATGAAGAACTTGTTGGGAACTGGAGCAAAGGTGACTCTTGTCATGTTATGTTTTAGTAAAGAGACTGGTGGCATTTTGCCCCTGCCTTAGAGGTCTGTGGAACTTTGAACTTGAGAGAGATGATTTAGGGTAACTGGTGGAAGAAATTTCTAAGCAGCAAAGAATTCAAGAGATAACCTGGGTGCTGTTAAAGGCATTCAGTTTTGTTTTTTTTTTTTTTTGTCAGTAAATACTTTATTCATTTCTCTGTTGATTTTTTTTCCTCATTACAAAACAGCACTGTATACAGCTGTGCATTTTCTGGTTACATGGAAGTGGAATTATTTGGTAAATGTGCATATTCAACATGAATAAAAATGAACAATTTGCTTTCCAGGGTAGTATTTTAAATTTATACTCCCATATTCCACCAGCAGTGCTTGAGAGTTATTGTTTATCAGCATTTCCTAATGTGAAATCGGAGTTTTTCTAAATGAGATTTTTGGCTATTTGGAGATTTTCCCACTTTCCTTGGAATGGTCTATTCAGATTCTCTACAGTTTTTATTTTATGAGATTTGATTTGTAAATATTCTTTATATATTTGAGTTTTAACTTTTTGTCAGTATGTGACAAATATATTCTGTCACCTTGTGGGTTTGTTTTTAACTGTTCGTGATATCTTTGGATGTGCAAAATTTTAATAATGTTGGATTTATATTTTTTATAGTTTTTGAATGCTGCCTTTTCATAAAGGAGTTATCTGACTTCCACTTTCCCCAGGAGCTGCAGGCATCAATTTGGCAAGTTTACTTAGCGCTGGTGTACTTGGTGACGGCCTTGGTGCCCTCGGACACGGCGTGCTTGGCCAACTCCCCGGGCAGCAGCAGGCGCACGGCCGTCTGGATCTCCCTGGAGGTGATGGTCGAGCGCTTGTTGTAATGCGGCAGGCGGGAAGCCTCACCTGCGATGCGTTCGAAGATGTCGTTGACGAAGGAGTTCATGATTCCCATGGCCTTAGAGGAGATGCCGGTGTCGGGGTGGACCTGCTTCAGCACCTTGTACACGTATACGGAGTAGCTCTCCTTGCGGCTGCGCTTGCGCTTCCTGCCGTCCTTCTTCTGCGCCTTAGTCACGGCTTTCTTCGAGCCCTTCTTGGGCGCGGGAGCGGACTTCGCTGGCTCCGGCATGTTGAAGGCGAACTACGAGCCTGAGACGAGCAGCAGATCGTGAAAACGGGAAGTAATGCAAGGCATTCAGTTTTATAAGGGAAGTGGTTTGGAAAATTTGCAGCCTGACAATGCGATTGAAAAGAAAATCCTGTTTTCTGAGGAGAAATTCAGACTGGCTAAAGAAATTTGCATAAGTAACAAGGAGCTGAATGTTAAGCCCTAAGACAGTGGAGAAAATGTCTCCAGCCATGTCACAGACTTTTGTGGCAGCCCATCCCATCATAGGCCTAGAGGCCTAGGAGGAAAAAGTGGTTTCATGGGCCAGGCCCAGGGTCCCTGTGCTTTGTGCAGCCTAGGGACTTGGTGCCCTGTGTCCCTGTCACTCCAACCATGGCTGAAAGGGGCCAACATAGTGCTCAGGTCCTGCTTCAGAAGGTGCAAGCCTCAAGCCTTGGGAGCTTCCATGTGGTATTGAGCCTGTCAGTGCACAGAAGTCAAAAATTGGGTTTTGGGAACCTCTGCCAAGAGTTTAGAGGATGTATGGAAATGCCTGGTTGTCTAGGCAGAAGTTTACTGCAGGGATGGGGCTCTCATGGAGAACCTCTGCTAGGGCAGTGCAGAAAGGAAATGTGGGGTTGGAGCCCCCACACAGAGTCCCTACTGGGGCACCACCTAGGGGAGCTGTGAGAAGAGGGCCACCGTCCTCCAGACCCCAGAATGGTAGATCCGCTGACAGCTTGCACCGTGCACCTGGAAAAGCCGAAGACCCTCAATGCCAGCCCATGAAAGCAGCCAGGAGAGGGGCTATACCTTGCAAAGCCACAGGGGTGGAGCTACCCAAGGCCATGGGAGCCCACCTCTTACATCAGCGTGACCTGGATGTGAGACATGGAATCAAAGGAGATTGTTTTGGAACTTTAAGATTTGACTGCCCTGCTGGATTTTGGACTCGCATGGGGCCTGTAGCCCCTCTGTTTTGGCCAATTTCTCCCATTCAGAATGGCTATATTTACCCAATTCCTGTATCCCCATTGTATCTAGGAAGTAACTACCTTACTTTTGATTTTATAGGCTCATAGGCAGAAGGGACTTGCCTTGTCTCAGATGAGAGTTTGGATTGTGACTTTTGAGTTAATGCTGAATGAGTTAAGACTTTAGGGGACTGTTGGGAAGGTATTATTGGTTTTGAAATGTGAAGACATGAGATTTGGGAGGGGCCAGGGGCTGAATGATATGGTTTGGCTCTGTGTCCCCACTCAAATCTCATCTTGTAGTTCCCACAGTTCCCATGTGTTCTGGGAGGGACCTGGTGGGAGATAATTGAATCATGGGGGTGAATCTTTCCTGTGCTGTTCTCGTGATAGTGAATAAGTCTTATGAGATCTGATGGTTTTAAAAATGGAAACTTCCATGCACAAGCTCTCTCTTTGCCTGCCGCCATCCATGTAAGATGTGACTTGTTCCTCCTTACCTTCCACCATGATTGTGAGGCCTCCCTAGCCATGTGAAACTGTAAGTCCATTAAACCTCTTTTTCTTCCCAGTCTTAGATATGTCTTTATCAGCAACGTGAAAATGGACTAATACAGTTGGTTTATAAAACTAGTTTTAAAAAATTCAATGGGATGTTTTTCTTGGCCCATTTAATTTTTTCTTCTTTACTGCAGAGAAGTAATTGTAGAGATGTCCTTCATGTTGTTTCCAGAGTAACACACATTGACATTTATATGTAAGAGCTGGTGGGTACTGTAATCATCTGAGAGAAATGATCAGATGTCGGTGTAGGGCAAGGGCAGCTGCCGTCAGAAGAAACAACACCATGAAAGGCCAAAAAGATTTATGAAGAACTTGACAGAAATAAGAGATTTTTAAAAATGCTCGCTGGTCACTTGGAACAAATAGCAGTGTACAAGGCATGATTTGAATGACTACTTAGATTGTAGTTGAGAACATCTGTGGCTTTCAGGATATTTTAAAATTACAGTTTGATGCTCAAGGCACCTATTTCTTTAGCTTAAAGGAAAAGGATCTGCAAAGAGCAGAGGAAAACCAAGTAGATTTTATTGCTTGGCTGAGTGTGCTGCGGCAGATGACATGTAGCTTATTTCGAAGATATGTTTGGCATTATTTATTTTTAGAATTTACCTGATATCAGATCTTAGTCTACTAGACAGTGTGGGAGCACGCATTGACAGACAGCCTGGGCTGGCACACCCCATGAACATAGTCCCTGATGCAGGGTATGGACAGCAACTCCTACTTGACTGGGAAACTCCAGGCATTTCACGTGCATTAGGCCTCACTGTGATGCAGGCACATCTCAATGGGTCCAGCCAACCCTGCTCACCACAGTGGTATGTGTTCAGGTGCAATGTCAGCTGGGAGTGTACACAGCACTGGTTTGGATCTGTGAGGGTTACCACCTTGCATACTGTGTGACAGAACTTGAAATTTGCCGAGAAGGCAAGACTTAAATGAACTAGATTCAGACAGTACAAAGTACTTGATGAGGTGATGGTGGTGATCGTGAGCAGTTCTCAGTGCTTCCTCTGTGTTGAGCCCTATTGTGAGCACTTTCCATGCATTAACTTGCCAGCCCTGCCAGGTCAGTGCTGATTCACCCAGGGAGCAAGTGGCAGAGCAGGATGTGAGCCCAGGCCATGAGGATCCTGGTAGAGCCAGGAATCGGAGTGGATGTGTCAGTAAGGGTTAGGGTGGGTAGGCAGAAGTTGCTGAACCCTATTGCCGAGTTCATGGGTCTGGGAGAACACGAGTTCAGTTGACCAGGAGATATGGGAAGGACTTTGGCAAATGTTTCTTTTTCTTTCTCTTTTCTTCTCTCTGTCCTCCCCTTCCATCATCCTTCTCTTCCTTTATTCTTCCCTTCATTCTGTTCTCAGGCTTTTTTATATATAATATTTTATATATTTATGGGGTGATATGTGATATTTTATTGCACACATAGAATATATACTGATCAGGCTGATCAAGTCAGGGTATTTGGAGTATCCATCACCTTGAGTATTATTTATATGTATTGAGAACATTTCACATACTTCTAGCTACTTTGAAATACAGTATACATTGTTGTTAACTATCATCACCCTACTCTACTCTCAAACATTAGTACTTACACCTTCTATCTGACTGTGTTTGTATTGACCAACCTCTCTCATCCCCACTTCAACCCACAGACCCTTCCCAGCCTCTGCTATCAGTCACTCTACTCTCAACCTTCATGAGATCCACTTTTTAGTTTCCACATATGAGTGAGAACATGCAAAATTTGTCTTTCTGTGTCTGGCTTATTTCGCTTAATGACCTGCAGTTCTATCCATGTTGCTGCAAATGACATAATTTCATTCTTTTCTAAGCCTGAACAGTATTCCACTGTGTATATATACCACATTTTCTTTATCCATTCACCTGTTGACAGACATTTGTAGGTTGATTTTGTCTCTTGTCTATTAGGAACAGTGCTGCAATAAACATGGGGGTATCCCTTTGATATATTGATTACTTTTCCTTTGGATAAATATCCAGAAGTGGAATTGCTAGATCACGTGGTAGTTCTATTTCTAGTTTCTTGAGAAATCTCCATACTGTTTTCTGTAGTGGCTATTCTAATTTACATGCCTATCAACAATGTGTAAAAGTTCCCTTTTCTCCACATCCTCGCCAGCATCTGTTTTTTGTCTTTTTAGTGATAGCCATTCTAACTGGGTAAGATGATATCTCATTGTGATTTCAGTTTGCATTTCCCTGATGATTAGTGGTTTTTTTTTGTATACTTATTGACCATTTGTATGGCTTATTTTGAGGAATATCTGTTCAAATCTTTTGCTCACTTTTTAATGGGATTATTTGTTCTTTTATTTGAGTTGTTTGAGTTCCTTTTAGATAGATCCCCTTGTCAGAGGAATAGTTTGCAAATAGTTTCTCCCATTCAGCACATTGTCTCTTCATTCTGTTGTTTCTTTTGCTGTGCAGAAGGTTTTTAGTTCAATATAGTCTCATTTGTCTATTTTTGTTTGTTGTCTGTGCTTTCAAGGTCTTAGCTATAAAATATTTGCCTGTACCAAATGTCCTGAAGTGTATTCCCTATATTTTCTTCTAGTAGTTTTTAGTTTTGGGTCTAACATTTAAGCTTCAATCCATCTTGAGTTGCTTTTTAAATATTTGGTGAGAGATAGGGATCGAATTTCATTCTTCTGCATATGGATATCCAATTTTCCCAGCACCATTTATCAAAGAGACTGTCCTTCCCCCAAGGTATATTCTTGCACCTCTGTTGTAAATACGTGGATTTATTTCTAGATTCTGGATTCTGTTCCATTGGTGTGTGTGTCTGTTTTTATACCAGTACCATGCTGTTTCGGTTACTAAAGCTTTGTAATCTGTTTTGAAGTCAGGTAATATGATGCCTCTTGCTTTTTTCTTTTTCTTTTCTTTTTTCTTTTTTTTTGCTCACAATTGCATTGGCTATTTGGATTCTTTTGGTTCCATGCAAATTTTAAGATTTTTTTTCAATTTCTGTGAAAAATGACATTGGTATTTTGATAGAGATTGCGTTGAATCTGTAGATGGCTTTGGGCAGTATGATTATTTTGAGGCTATTAATTCTTCCAGTCTTTGAACATGGGATGTCTTTTTGTTTATGTCCTGTTTAATTTCTTTCTTCTGTGTTTTGTCATTTTCCTTGTAGAGATCTTTCGCCTCCTAGGATAAATTTATTCCTAGGTATTTTAATTTTTTGGTAGCTGTTGTAAATGCGACTTCATTCTTTATTTCTTTCTCAGCTTGTTCATTGTTGGTGTATAGAAACACTGTTGATTTTTGTATATTGATTTTGTATCCTGCAGCTTCACTGGATTTATCAGTTCTAACAGTTTTTTGGTGGACTCTAGATTTTTCTAGGTAGAAGATCATATCTTTAGCAAAGAAGGACAGTTTGACTTCTTCTTTTCCAATTTTGCTGCCTTTTATTTATTTATCTTGTCTGATTGCTCTGGCTAGGTCTTCCAGTACTATGTTGGATAGGAGTGGTGAAAGTGGGCATCTTGTCTTGTTGCAGTTCTTGGCTGAAAGGATTTCAGCATTTCTCATTTAGTATGATGTTAGCTGTGGATTTGTCACACGTGGCCTTTATTTTGTTGAGGTATATTCCTTCTATCCTTAGTTTTTTTAAGGTTTTTATCATAAAAGGATGTTGAATTTTACCAAATGCTTTTTTAGCATCTGTTGAATGATCATATGGTTTTGTCGTTTGTTCTGTTGATGTAATGTATCATGTTTATTGATTTGCATATGTTGAACCATCCTTGAATCCCTGGGATAAGTTAAGTTCCATTTGATAATGATGTGTTATTTTTCTGATGTGCCGTTGGATTTAGTTTGCTAGTATTTTGCTGAGAATTTCTAAGTCTATATTCATTAGGAATGTTAGCCTATAATTGTCTTTTCTTTTCTTTTTTTTTTTGTGTTGTTGTTGTTTGAGATGGAGTCTTGCTCTGTCACCCAGGCTGGAGTGTAGTGGCGTGATCTCGGCTCACTGCAACCTCTGCCTCCCAGGTTCAAGCAATTCTTCTGCCTCAGCCTTCCAAGTAGCTGGGATTACAGATGCATGCCACCATGCCTGGCTAATTTTTGTATTTTTAGTAGAGACGGGGTTTCACCATGTTGGCCAGGCTGGTCTTGAATTCCTGACCTCATGATCCACCCACCTCGGCCTCCCAAAGTGTTGGGATTACAGGTGTGAGCCACTGCACCTGGCCTAGCATATACTTTTCTTTTTTTGTTGCATCCGTGTCTGGTTTTACTATCAGGATAATGCTGACTTCATAGAGTGATTTAGGGAGAATCCCTTTCTCTTCAATTTTTTGGAATAGTTTTAGGAGAATTGGTGTTAATTCTTTGAAAGTTTGGTAGAAGTTTGGTAGTGAAGCCATCCAGTCTTGGACTTCACTGGGAGACTTTTTATTACTGATTCAATTTCATTTCTTGTTATTGCTCTGTTCAGGTATTCTATTTCTTCCTGATTCAATCTAGTAGATTGTATGTGTGTAGGAATTTATCCATTTCCTCTAGGTTTTCTAGGTAGTTAGTGTATAGTTGTTCATAATAGTCTCTGGTGATCTTTTGTATTTCCATGGTATCAGTTGTAATGTCTCCTTTTTAATTTCTGATTTTGTTTGTGTCTTCTCTTGGTTAGTCTAGGAAGTGCTTTATCAATTTTATCTTGTCAAAAAAACAACTTTTTATTTCGTTGATCCTTTGTGGTTTTTTTTTTCTCTGATCTTTATTACTTGTTTCTTTCTACTAATTTTGGGTTTGGTTGGTTTTTGTTTTTCCAGTACCTCGAGGTGCACTGCTAGATTATTTATTTGAAATCATTCTACTTTTTCTGATGTAGGCATTTGTTACTATAAACTTCCATCTTAGCATTGCTTTTGCTGTATCCCATTTGGTTTTGGTATGTTTTTCAGTTTTCATTTGTTTTCAAGACTTTTTAAAAATTTCCTCCTTAATTTCTTTCTTGGCTCAGTGGTCAGTCAGGAGCATATTGTTTAATTTTCATGCATTCGTAGTTTCCAAAGTTCCTCTTGTTATTGATTTTGAGTTACATTCCACTGTGGCCTGAAAAGATACTTGAATGATTTTGATTTTTAAAAATTTGTTGTTGCTTGTTTTGTGTCCTAACATGTGGTCTATCTTGGAGAATGTTCTGTGTGCTAATGAGAAGAATGTGTGTTCTGTAACTGTTGTATGAAATAGTTCTGTAACGTCTGCTAGGCTTATTTGGTCTAATGTGCAGTTTCAATCCAATATTTCTTTGTTAATTTTTTGTCTGAGTGATCCAATGCCGAGAGTGGGGTGTTGAAGTCTTCAACTATTATTGTATTGCATTCTGTCTCTCCCTTTAGATCTAATAGTACTTGCTTTATCTAGTGCTCTGGTGTTGGGTGCTCTGGCGTTGGGTGCATATATGTTTGGAATTGTTATATCCTTTTGCTGAATTGATACTTTTATCATTATATAATGACCTTCTTTTGTCTCTTTTTACAGTTTTTGACTTAAAATCTGTTTTATCTGACATAAATAAAGCTACCCCTGCTTGCTTTTTGTTTCCATTTGCATGGGATATCTTTTCTTGTCCCTTTATTTTAGTCTATATGTGTCTTTACAGGTGAGATGAATTTTGTGTAGGCAGCATGTAGTTGGGTCATGTTTTTTTTTTTTTTTTTTTTAATTCATTGAGCCAGTCTGTATCTTTTGAGTGGAAAATTTAATCCATTTACATTCAAGGCTATTATTGATATGTGAGGTTTACCTCTGTCATTTTATTACTTGATTTCTGATTGTTTTGTATATCCTTTGTTTCATTCTTTCTCTCTTGTTGTTTATTATTGTGGTTTGGTGGTGATCTGTAGTGGTAACATTTAAGTTTTTTCTTTTTTTCTGTGTTTGCTCTACCAGTGGTTTTTATATTTTCATATGTTTTCATGATTATAGTTACTGTTCTTTCACTTCTGGGTGTAGGACTTCCTTAAGCATTTTTTACAGGACTGGTCTAGTGGTGATGAATTCCCTCAGCTTTTGCTTGTCCAAGAAATACTTCATCTGTCCTTTATTTATAAAGGATACTTTTGCTGCAAATAGTATCCTTGAATGGCAGTTTTTTTTCTCTTTCAGCACTTTGAATGTATCATCACATTCTCTCCTGGCTTGTAAGGTTTCTGCTGAGAAATCCGTTAGTCTGATGAGGGTTCCTTTGTGGGTGACTAGATGCTTTTCTTTTGCTGTTTCTAAATTTTTCTCTTTGTATTTGACTTTTGACAGTTTGACTGTAATGTACTGTGGAGAGGATCTTTTTGAATTTTATCTATTTGGGGATCATTGAGACTCTTGTATCTAGATGTCTAAATCTCTTTCTAGACTTGGGAAGTTTTCATCTATTGTTAAATAAGTTTCTGTTTGCTTTTTCTTTACCTTCTGGGACACCAAAAATTTGAATATTTGATTTATGATGTCCTATATGTTACAAAGCCTTTGCTGATTCTTTTTAATTCTTTTTTTTTTTTTTTTTAATCTTTGTCTCTCTGGGTTATTTCAAATGGTCTGCCTTCAAGTTTTGAGATTTTTTTCCTTTGGCTTCTCTAGTTATTATTGAAGCTTTTGAATTTGTTTTGTATTTCATTCAATGAATTTTTCAGTTACAGAATTTCTGTTTGGCTCTTCTTTATGATACCTGGTAAGGTTCGGCTATGTCTGCACCCAAATCTCATCTTCAATTGTAGTTCCCATAATCCTTACATGTCTTGGGCGGGACCTGGTGGGAGGTAATTGAATCGTGGGGGCAGTGACCCCCATGCTGTTCTCGTGATAGTGAGTGAGTCCTCACAAGATCTGATGTTTTTATGAGGGGCTTTTCCCCCTTTGCTGAGCACTTCTTCCTGCCTCTGTGTGAAGAAGAATGTGTTTGCTTCACCTTCTGCCATGATTGTAAGTTTCTTGAGGCCTCCTCAGCCATGCTGAACTATGAGTCAATTAAACCTCTTTCAGTTAAACCTCTTTCCTTTATAAATCACCCAGTCTTGGGTATGTCTTTATTAGCAGCGTGAGAAAGGACCAATACAATATCCATCTCTTGGATCAAATTTCTCATTCTTATCCTGAATTGCTTTTTAAATTCCTTTGTATTTTTCAGCATTCTCCTGTATGCTATTGAACTTCCTTACTATCAATATTTTGAATTATTTTCCTGGTATTCCATAAATTTCTTTTTGATTGGAATCTGTTGCTGGAGAATTGTTTTCTTTAGGAGATGTCATATTTTCTTGCTTTTTCATGTTTCCTGTACCCTTGCATTAGTATCTCTGTGGTATAATGGTCATTTCTTCTAAGTTTTTTGAATTTACTTTCGTAGGAGAGGACATTTTCCCGAAGATGTATCTGTGGTATTGGTAGGTAGGGCACTTTGGTTTTGAATCTGGGTGTGTGCAGTAGTGTAGTCTCTGTATGATTTCTTTGGCTGTAAACAGCATTAATGATATCTATGATTTTCTTAATGGCTTAGGGTATGGTTGTTAGTGGAGGCTGTGGTGAAATTTTGCTGTTGACCTGGGTGCCAGGTAGGCCAGTCTTTTGGCCCCAGTGGTGGCAGTGGTGGACTGAGCATGCCTGTCCTCAGGCCCCAGGGTGGTGTACACTGGCACCAGTGTTAGTAGGTCCAGGCAGGCCAGTTCTTGGGCCTCCAGGTGGCTTCTTTGGGTACTAGGAATGGCAGTGGTGGGTTGGGTGGGTGGGTGGGTTCCTGAGCCCCTGAGCAGCAGGTGTGGTGTGGTTGATGGCAACAGCAGTTGTGGTGTGGGTGATGGCAACAGCAGTGGTGGGACAGCCCTTTGGGGTCTTCATCTCTGGTAGCTTATGCTGGGCTGTTTTCCAAAGTGCTGATGTTTGTGACGGCTGTGACAGGTTGGGTGGGCTGGTCCTTGGACCTGCAGGTGGCACATATGGGTGGGTCGCAGCGGTGGTGGTAGCAGCAAGCTGAGTGGGCCTGACCCACTCTGGGAGACTCTGCTGAGATGCTACTGGTGATCCCCAGGCCCCTGGACAGTGTGATCTGGTTCTAGGGAGGGATGGTGGAGGCAGGCTGGCTGGACCTGCCCTCAGGTCCCTTGGTGGGGAGTGTAGTTATTGGCTGTGGTAAGTAGCATCGAGGTGATTCCTAGGCCTCCCGTGGAATGCTCAGGTAGGGGTGGCCAGAGTTTCATTGTGTCCCTGCTACTGGGGAGGGCAGGGTTTCTTTCCCTGGGAGCAGCTGTAGTCAGGCACCTAGGGGGCATGGGCTTTGATTGCACCTCACCTCAGGCCTGCAGCAGCTCATAGTGGTAGCAGTTGCAGGTAGTCGACTTTGACCTTGGAGCTCATGAAAATACATGGCTACCCATCTGCAGGGATGGTGTGGGGGATCACTCCCTGTGGCTCCCACCTCCACCCTGGTGGCGGGGCAGGCTGCAGTTCATTGGGGGTTGTACTCTCCAAGTGGTGCCATGCCACAGCAGCTTAGGATTTGGGGGGTTGTGGCACCCAGCGTGGGCTCTCTGTGGAGCAGTGCCTTTGTACAGTCTTCAGGCAGCTCTCCGCAGTAGTCTTGGGGTCCTCTAGAATTGAAGGACTCTCCCAGGGCTGTGGATTGTAGAAGTCCACAGCAGCAATGTGAACTGCTGGGAAGGGTCTTTCACTTACCCTTTCCCCCAATTAGGGAGCCACTGCTGACTCCCAGTTGATCCCAGCCTAGCAAGCTGCCTTGGTTTTCTTTCCTTCCTTGCTTTTGGTGTTTCTGAATGTTTCTTTGTTGAATTCCAAAGTTCTCTCTTAGGTTATCTATTTGAAGTGTGATTACTTGCTATTTTGGTTCTTCTCTGTGGAAGAGGTGAGCACCAGATCTGTCTAGTCAGCCATCTTGAAGCCTCAAAACCCTTTTTTTTTTTTTTTTGGACACAGAGTATCACTCTGTTGCTCAGGCTAGAGTGCAGTGGTGCAATCTCAGCTCACTGCAACCCCCTCCTCTCAGGTTCAAGCGATTCTTCTGCCTCAGCCTCCCCAGTAGCTGGGATTACAGGCGTGTGCCACCACGCCCAACTAATTTTTGTGTTTTTACTAGAGACAAGGTTTTGCCATGGTGGCCAGGCTGGTCTCGAACTCCTGACTTCAAGTGAAACACCTGCCTCGGCCTCCCAAAGTCCTGGGATTACAGACATAAGCCACCATGCCTGGTCTCAAAACATTTTTAATGAGAAGCACAGCATACCTAGAGAAAAGTACAGAAACATAAAAGTGAAGCTCAGAGAATAATTACAAAGGAACATTTGTTCACCACCACCCAGGGTGAGAAATGGCATGTTGCCTGCACCCAGGAAATGCGTGTGCTTCTTCCTCATCACTACCCACTCCCATTTTCCCATTTTTGAACATTATATAAATGAAACCATACTTTGATGTTGGCTTTTTCATTGAGCACTTTGCTAGTGAGGTCCATCGTGCTGTTGCATGTAGCTGTGGTTCATTTTCACTGCCACCTCGTAGGGTTTCTCAGCACTGCTGACGTTTCAGGCTTAATGATGCTCTGCTGTGGGGCTGCCCTGTTCACTGTAGGGATTTTAGCAGTCTTCCTGGTCTTTACCCACCAGATACCAATAGTGTCTCCCACTTGTGACAATCAAAAATGTTTCCAGATGTTCAGATTGCCCTCTGGGATGGCAAAATGCCCCTCGCCCTGGTTGAGAACCACTGCTCTATAGTACAGGTTGAATATCCCTTATTTGAAATGCTTGGGACAGGAAGTGTTTCAGATTTCAGATTGTTTTGGATTTTGGAATATTTGCATATCCATAATGAGATACCTTGGGGATAGGACCCAAGTCTAAACATGTTCATATGTATTTCATATACCTGTGATAGACATAGCCCGAAGGTAATTTTATATAGTACTTTTAGTAATTTTGTACATGAAACAAAATTTGTGTATGTTGAACCATCAGAAAGTAAAGGTGTCACTCTCTGAGCCGCCCATGTAGACATTCTGTGGTTGTTTGCATCACCATCATTCCTGACTCTGAATTTATAAGTGGCTGACAAGCAGTCATTTTCTCTCACTTATGCACACCTAAGTATTTAACAGTATTTACTGGCCCTCCATGGGGCAATGTGGGGAACCTGCCCTTGGTGCACTGGCCTGCACACACACCATTTTATTACCTTTGTGGGTGTGCTTGCATTGGGGAATCCGGGCCTGCATGGAAAAGACATCGCAGCCAAAGGGACCTGAACGGTCTCTTTTCCCTTGGTGACTCTGAATAAACTGTGTGTTGTGTGCCTGCCTTTTGATTGTAACCTGTCGTGTGAAGTCAGGTGTGGAATTTTTCACTTGTGTCATCATGTTGGCACTCAAAAAGTTTCCAACTTTGGAGCACTTTGGGTTTTGGATTTTCAGATTGATGATGCTCAACCTGTATTCTATTGTATGAATTTACCAGTTTAGTTATCCATTTTACTATTGATGCACATTTGGATTATTTCTAGTTATTGGCCTTTACAAATAGTACTTCTCTAACATTCTTGTACTTGTCGTTTGGTAAAGGACATGTGCATGTTTTCCTGTTGCGTTTATCTTTAGGAATGGAAGTTTGGGATCTATAGAAGTGCATGTCTTCACCTCTAGTAGTTTATGCTGGGCTGTTTTGCAAAGTGGTTATATCAGGTGTGAACATTTACCAACAGCAAAGGAGCGTTCTGGTTGCTTTTCTTTCTTGGAAACACCTGGTATTGTCAGAGATCTTCATTGTAGCCATTCTGTGGGGATGGAGGGCTGGCTCATTGTGGTTTTAATTTGCATTGTTTTTATGAGTTCTGAAGTGGAGCACCTTTTCCTGTGTTTACTGGCCATTTGGATATCCATTTTTGTCACAACCTATTCAGAGCTCTTGCCTTTTTTTCTTTTAGGTTGTCTGAATTTGTATATTCTGGATACAGAATCTTTTTTGATTTTATTAAAGTTGCGCATTTATTTTACCACTCCATGTCTTGCTTTATTTCTCTTAATGGTATGTTTTGATGAACAGAAGTTCCTGATTTGAATGTACTCTGAGTGCTTAATGTATCCTGTTAAGAAAATGTCTGCTTACCTCAAGGTCATGAATATATCTGCCTATATTTTCTCCTCGGTTTCTCTTTTTGCCTTTTGCATTTATCTTTGGGCATGCTCTGTGATAGGGGTCAAGTTAAGCGTTCCCCAGGGTTCTCACAGACCCAGCACTGACTGCGGAGGGCACTGTGCTTTCCCCACTCTCCTCGGTGCCCACACGTGTGTGGGGTCTGTGTCTGTGCTCTCCATTGCACTCGGCCAGTCTCCCATCCTGCAGTGCTACATTGCCTCTTGTCAAGATGGATAAGTTTTTGATACCTAGAACGAACATTGTTTTTCTTCAAAAAATGCCTTCACTATTATTGTCTCCTTTCCATATAAATTTTAGAATCTGCCTGTCAAATTCCACAAAGGACACCGTGTTGATTTTGATGGAAATTTCATGGAATCTGTAGATCAGTTTGGAAGAATTGACGTTTTTAGAGTGTTGAGACCTCCAGTACATGACATGATACATTTCTTCACTGCTTAGGGCCGTCTTTCTCTCAACAGGGTATTGTAGTTTTCTGAATGGAGGTCTTCAATATCTTTAATCAGATTTACACTTAGTAGTAGTCCTCCTTCTTTCTAATTACATAATTAGAAACAGTGTCTATCACTAAACATCACTAATTCACTCACCACTACGTGCCAGGTCCTGTTCTAGGCACTGAGGCCACAGCAGCAAGCCAGACAGCCCCAAGTCCTTGCCTTCATGGAGCTAGCCAGTGAGGAGAGACAGCAGCGCCAGTAAAGCAGCGCAGGGCACTGTGGACTCTGTGATATTTAATGCCATGGAGGGTAAAGGGCGGGAGACCTGAGAGGGGTAGCTTTTGTGTTTTAATTTTAGAGTGGTCATGGAAGACCACTGAGCGGTTGACATCCACACGAAGATCTGAAAGAAGAGGGAAGTGAGCTCTTTTTTTTAAGGCAATTTTATAACTTTATTTGATGTATTTGATGATCAGCTGTTAGTTCTCATCCACATTGACTGTCTATAGATTTTTGAAAGCAGTAACGGGTACATAAGTAATCAAAGTATAGAGTTTATTTGGTGAATCTTCATTCTCTTTACATTTTCTGGACAACCGCACACGGATGCGGTATGGGATATTCCTTATTCCTTTGGTCCAGACAGCTTTGTTGAGCCTGGTATCAATGCACATATCTGGAGTTCCCATCTCCTTCATGGCAAATTTCCAAATCTCTTTGAGTGCCTGAGGGGCACGCTTCTTGAAGGCCACTCTGTGGATGTGCTGTGAATGTTGATGGCGTATCTCAGGTCACCACCTTGTTGATGGTAGAACGGCCCTTTTTCTTCTCGCCACCCTTTGTAGGAGCCATTCTGCCAGGCCCAAGTTGGAAAGGAAGCGAAGCAAGCTCTTAGGGTGTCTGGGAAGGCACGTTCCAGCCAGAGGGATCAACATGTACAAGCGCCCGAGGTGGGGTGTGTTAGCAGAGCCAGAGGCCCATGTGGCAGGCATGGGGTGTTGGAGGAGAGCATGGGGGTGGGGTGAGGCTTTAGTTTGTGTAATTTGGAAATTACTGTTTATGGAATGCCTACTATCTACCAAGTGTGATAGACAGTTTTGCTGGTATCTCCTCCTTTATTTAGTCTTTATAATAGTGGTGTAGAGAATTTAAAACCAGTTTATAGATGAGAAAACAAAGGCCTAGCAAGGTGACATGGCTTTGCCGAGGGGCTGCTGGTGAGTGACTCCAGAGTCTGTGTTTGCGCCTCCACATGGTGCTGCACACTCAGTGTGCCTCATGTGTTATTATAGTTTATGCATTTAATGTGTGAGTTTTAGAAAAACAGACAATTAGCAGATAAGTAAAGATAGATTTGTTTATTGTCATTTGAAGGTGTGGTTGACAATAGGGCCCTGTGAGCATGTGCCTGAGGAGCCCACCAGCAAGTACCAAGGAGCCAGCATAGCTGTCAGGGTGTCCTCCAGGCCGAGTTTGGTGAGTTTTCTTTGTGTTAGCATGAGTGCCCATGTCTGAGAAATGTGGCACTGGGAAATCAATGCCTGCGACAAGAGCTATCACAAGGGCATGTGGAGCTAGGGTGTCTCAGTGCCATCTCCTTGTTCTCAGTTAGCTGTGACTTAACTCTGAGTGCCATTTTGTTTTTCCCTCCCTTCCCCTTCCCACTGGGTGTGAGCGTGGGACATATGAAAACCCTCTTACCATTGTGGGGAACTAGTGTCCTGAGGGACCCAGTTTGGGAAACATTGAGCTACCTTGATGTTGACAGTGAGTGTGACATGGAGAATAGGAAGGGGCGGTGAAGAGAAGTATGGGCAAGGAGGGAGTTTGTAGACCTTGCTTCCTATCAGACAGATGCCCGTGCCTGGTGGAGCCTTCTTTCTAAGGAACCTAAGTCAGCGTGCACCAGCTTTAGGATAAGATGTTTCAGTTTGGCTGTGTGTATAAAGAAATGGGATTTTAAAGTTCCTCATCATTTTATTGAAGCATGGTTACATCTTTACCTCTCATTCTGAGTTTTCTCCCCAAATCCCTGCAGAGAGTAGGGAAGAATGTTGCCTGCCAGTAATGATAACCAGTCATTGCCCAGCAGTACATCCTCTGTCCAGTGGCTGGGCCTGCAGTGGATGCCTGTGAATTGAACTGGCACAGCTGGTAGACTCAGTTGCTTCTCAGCTGTTCAGCGTGGATTGGTGCAGTTATTTAAGCCTAGCCACAGGCACAGTTCCTGCCAGATGCTGCTGCTGCTGATAGATGTGACTGAGTGGCCGTATGCTTACCAGAAGCATTTGTCCATGGCAGAGACCTGTGACTTGAGACCTTCCAGCTGGAGGCCATCAGCCAGGGGAGCTTTCCGAGTGCCTGGTTGAGATTGTTTCAGTGTTCAGAGTTGTTGGTGGCCCTCTTGTTACGCTGGCTGCTCCAGGTCACCAGCGTAGATTCTCTGCCCCATACTCCTTCCCACTCACAAATGGTTTAATGAGCGAGCACATTAACAAAAAAAATCTGTCTACTGTTGGGAGGAAACGTGGTGAGATACAGGCAGGGTTTTCATGTCCATCCAAGCTCTTGATAGAACTTTGTGAGGAGAAAATAGCCCCAGAATGTCAAGAGGGGACTAAACTGAGAAACTGTAGAAGAAACCAAGCAGAATGTAATTTTATTTATTTTCATTTGCCAGAGCTTTAATAGTGAAATAGTGCTTTATTGGGGTTTGTTTTCTGTGTGGCTCCATTCCTGTGATTTTCAAGAATAAGCAGAACTAATCTAGGGTGGTAGAAACCAGAGCATCAGTCACTTATGGGTTGGGCTGCCTAGAAGGGACAGGAGGGCATGAGGGAGCTTCATGGCAGGGGGAGAGACACACTGTATCTTGACAGAGCGATGTTTTTTGTGGTGCATGCATTTCTGTTAGACCTTAATTTTACTCATAAGATTTATGCAGTTTACCCTATGTAAATTTTAACCTTATTTTGACATCCAGATTTTTTTTTTTTGAGACAGCCTTGCTCTGTCACCCAGGCTGGAGTGCAGTGGCATGATCTCAGCTCACTGCAACCTCCACCTCCCAGGTTCCAGCAATTCTCCCACCTCAGCCTCCAGAGTAGCTGGGACTACAGGTGCCCAGCTAATTTTTGTATTTTTGGTAGAGATGGGTTTCACCATGTTGGCCAGGCTGGTCTCAAACTCCTGACCTCAGGTGATCTGCCCACCTCAGCCTCCCAAAGTGCTGTGATTACAGGAGTGAGCTACCATGCCTGGCCCCACTTTATAGAAAAGTTGGAAAAATAGTAGCAAGTAACTCTCACCCAGCTTCCCCTAATGTTAGCATCTTACATAACCATAGAACAGTTACCAAAACCACAAAATTAACATTGGTATGATATTTTTAGATAATCTTTAGCTCTTGTTAGAATTTTTCTATTTTTCTCACATCATTTTTCTAAAAATGGCTTTATTGAGATATAATTTGCATGCTGTAAAGTTCATTCATAATACACAATTCAGTGGTTTTTAGTATGTTCACAGAGTTGTGCAAGCATTACCATTGTCTAATTTTAGAATATTTTCATTGCCACCAATAGAAACCCCCATACCTATTAGCAGTGACTCCATCCCTGGCAATGACTAATCTGCTTTCTGTCACTATGGATTTGCCTATTATGAACATTTTATAAAATTAGTGTTGTACAGTATGTGGCTTTTTGTGTCTGGCTTAGTGTGTTTTCAGAATTCATCTATGTTGTATCATGTGTCAGTACACCATTCATTTTTATGACCTAATATCCCATTATGTGTATATACGACATTTTGTTCGCCCATTCATCATTTGATGGACGTTGGGTTATTTCCACTTTTTGGATGTTATGAATCATGCTGCTAGATTAACATTCCTATACAAGATTTTGTGTGGTCTAGCCATTCTTGTAGAGTAGTGTGATAGTCTGTTTTTTTTTTTGTTGTTGTTTTTTTTTGCTCAGGATTGCTTCAGCTATTTGGAGTCTTTTGTACTTCCATTATGAATTTCAGGATTGTTTTTTCTGTTTTTTTTTTTTTTTTGTGAAGAATGTCATTGGTATTTTGGCAAGGATTGCATTGATTCTGTAGATTGCTTTTGGTAGTATGGTCATTTTTACAATATTTATTGTTCTAGTTTATGAACATGGGATGTCTTTCCATTTGTTTGTGTCTTCAGTTTCTTTCATCGGTGTTTTATAGTTTTTCTTTTTGAGATCTTTTACTTCATGTTTAAATTTGGTTAAATTTATTCCTAAATATTTTTTGTAGCTATTGTAAATGGGATTGCCTCACTGATTTATTTTTGAGATTGTGTTATTGGTGTATAGAAATGCTGCTGAATTTTGCATGTTGATTTTTGTGTTCAGCAACTTTCTTTATTGAATTCATTTATTTTAACAATTTTTGGTGGACCTTTTAGAGTTTTCTGTGTATACAATAATGTTGTCTGTAAACAGGGACAATTTGACTTCCTCTTTTCCAATTTGGATGCCCTTTATTTATTTTTTTCTTGCCTAATTGCTCTAGCTGGGACTTACAGTACTATCTTGAATAGGAGTGGTGATGGTGGGAATCTTTGTCTTATTCCAGATCTTAGAAGAAAAGCTTTCAGCTTTTCCCTGTTCATTATGATGTTGGCTATGGGTTTGTCATATATGGCCTCTATTGTGTTGCTTCTGTACCTAAGTTATTAAGAGTTTTTGTCATAAAGCGATGCCAGATGGTATTAAATGCTTTTTCTTTATCTGTTGAGATGACCATATGGTTTTTGCACTTAATTCTATTAATATGTTGTATAATATCTGTTGATTTGCATGTGGTGAACCATGCTTGCATCTCTGGCATAAATCTTTTTTGATCATGGTGAATGATCTGTGTAATATGCTGCTGTATTTGGTTTGCTAGTGTTTTGTTGAGAATTTTTGCATCCGTGTTTATCATGGATGTTGGCCTGTTGTTTTTGTTGTTGTGTCCTTATCTGGTTTTGGTATCAAGGTAATGTTGGCCTTATAGCATAAGTTTGGAAGAAGTCCTTCCTCCTCAATTTTCTGGAAGAGTTTGAGAAGAATTGGTATCAGTTCTTTAAATGCATGGTAGAATTCTACAGTGAAGCCATCCCATTCTGGGCTTTTCTTTAACAGATTGAATCTTGTTACTTGTAACTGGTCTCTTCAGGTTTCTGTGTCTTCTTTGTTCTTCTTGGTCGGTTGTATGTGTCTGGGAAGTTATCCATTTCCCCTAGGTTTTCTAATTTGTTGGAATAGAGTTCTTTTTAATAGCCTCTCATGATCCTTTCTATTTATGTAATATCAGTTGTTATGTCTCCTTTTTCATTTCTGATTTTATTGATTTGGGTCTTTTCTCTTTTTCTTGGTTCCTCTAGCTAATGGTTTTTGATTTTTGTTTAACTTTTCAAAAAACCAACTTTTTGTTTTGTTGATATTTTGTATTGCTTTTTACTCTTAATTTTGTTTTGTTTTTGAGACATGGTCTTGTTGTCACTCAGGCTGGAGTGCAGCGGTACAATCACTGCTTACAGCAGCCTTGACCTGCTGGGGCCAAGCAATCCTCCCACCTTAGCCTCCTGAGTAGCTTGCATTATAGGCACACGCTGCCACACCTGACAAGTGGGTGTTTTTGTTTGTTTGGTAGAGACGGGGTCTCGCTTTGTTACCCGGGCTCGTCTTGAATACCTGGGCTCAGGTGAGTCTCCCATCACCGCTTTCCAGAGTGCTGTGATTACAGGCATGAGCCATCACATCTGGCCTTAATTTTATTTATTTCTTCTCTGATCTTTATTATTTCTTTCCCTGTACTAGTTTGGGGTTTGGTTTGTTCTTGCTTTTGTATTTCCTTGAAATACATTATTAGCTTATTTATTTAAAATCTTTCCACTTTTCTGATGTAGACATTTATTGCTCTAAATTTCCCTCTTAGCACTGCTTTTGCTATATCCTATTGGTTTTGATATATTGTGTTTTGATTTTCATTTGTTTCAATTAATTTTAAAATTTTCCTCTTGATTTTGTTGTTGACTCATTGATTGTTCAGGAGCAGGTTGTTTAATTCACACATACTTGCCCAATTTTGAAAGTTCCTTATTGTTGATTTCTAGTTTTATTCCACTGTGGTCAAAAAAGATACTTGCTATAATTTTAATTATTTTAGATTTGTTGAGACTTGTTTTGTGTCCTAACATGGTCCACCCTGGAAAAGGTTTTGTGTGCTGATAAGAAGAAAGTGTATTCTGTAGCTGTTGGATGAAATGTTCTGTAAACATCTGTTAGGTCCATTTGGTCTAATGTGTGGTTAAAGCCAAAGTTTCCTTGTTAATTTTATGTCTAGGTGATCTGTTCCATGTTGAGAGTGGGGTGTTTAAATTTTTAACTATTATCATATTGGAGTCTATCTCTCCCTTTAGATCTAATAACATTTGCTTTATATATCTGGGTGCTGTAGTGTTGGGTGCATATATGTTCAGAATTGTTATATCCTCTTGCTGAATTGATCTTTTTAACATTATATAATGACCTTCTTTATAGTTTTTGACATAAAATCTATTTTAACTGATATAAATAAAGCTACCCCTGCTTGCTTTTGGTGTTCATTTGTGTGGAATATCTTTTCTTTATCCCTTTGCTTTCAGTCTATATGTGTCTTTACAAATGACATGAGTTACATGTAGGCAATATGTAGTTTGCTTTTCACTGGGGTCTGTTACTAGAGAGTTAATATTTTTTCAAATTAATTCAGCTAGTCTATGTCTTTTAAGTGGGGGAATCTAATCTGTTTACATTTAATTTTATTAGTGATAGGTAAGGACTTACTCCTGTCATTTTGTTGTTTTGCAGTTGTTTTGTATAGTCTTTGTTTCCTTCTTCCTATCTTGTTTTTTATCATTGAGGTTTAGTGAGGTTTTTTAATGATAAGGCTTGATTCTTTTCTCTTTCTCCCTTGTGTATCTGCTGTACCAGTATGTTTTATACTTTTGTGGGTTTTTAAGAGAGTGTTTATCATCTTTTCACTTCCAGATGTAGGATTTCCTTGAGCATTTCTTGTAAGGCCAGTCTAGTAGTGACGAATTCCTTTAAGTTTTTGCTTGTCTGGGAAAGACGTTATGTCTCCCTCATTTCTGAAGGATAACTTTGCTGGGTATAATAATCTTGGCTGCCAATTTTATTCTGCCATCATTTTGAATATTACATCACATTTTCTTCTGGGCTGTAAGGTTTTTGTGGAGAATTTTATGCTAGTCTAATGAAGATTCCTTTGTATGTGACTTGATGCTTTTATCTTGCTGCTTTTATAATTTTATCTTTGTGTTTGATTTTTGACAATTTGGCTACAGTGTGCCTGGGGAATAATTTTTTTTGGTTGAATCTATTTAAGGACCTTTAAACTTCCTGGACCTGGATGTCCATATGTCTTCCCAGACTTTTGAAGTTTTTGGCTATTATTTAAGTAGGATTTCTATACCTCTTCCCTTATCTCTCTTCTCCTTCTATAATTCTCATTATATGAAATTCATTTGCTTAATAGTGTCCCATAAGTCTTGCAGACTTTCTTCACTCTTTTTCATTCTTATTTCTTTCTTTCTCCCCTCTGAGTGGGCAGTTTCAAATGACCTGTCTTCATATTCAGAGATTCTTTCTTCTGCTTGATCAAGTCTGCTGTTGAAGCTCTCTATTGTATTTTAAATGTAATTCATTGAATTCTTCAGCTTCAGGATTTGTTTAGTTCTTTCTTATGATTTCTGACTTTTTGTTGAATTTCTTGTTTGGATCATGAATTCCAGATTTTGTTGAATTGTCTATATGTATTTTCTTGTGTCTCATTGAGTTTCCTTAAGATCATTTGGAATTTTTCTTTTTGGCAGTTCACTGATTTTCTCTTTGATGGGGTCTTCTATTCCTAGAAAGTTATTATGTTCCTTTGGTGGTGTCCTATTTCCTTGCTTTTTGATGTTTCTTGTGTCCCTGCATTGATGTCTGTACATATGGTGGAATAATTGCCTTTTCCAGATTTTCTAGCATGGCTTTTGTAGAGAGAGACTTTTACCTGAAATTGGGTTTTAGTGTGCCATTTAGGAAAGGTGTAGTGACTGTTGCTGGTTAGGTGCAGTGGTATAGTCTCCATGAACCTTTTTCAGCTGTGTTCAGTGTTAGCCTCAGTGGCCCAGGCTATAGAAGTTTGTTACAGTGGTGGTGACAGTGTAAGTTGTTAATGTCCTTGGTATCAAGGGCTTTTGGGGTCCTCCTGGTCTCATTTTCCTTGCAATGGGGAGACTTAGCTGAGGGGAATTCCTTTGATGTCTGCTCTGACATGGCCTACAAGCAGCTGCCATGGTGCTGGGTTCCAGGTGTAGGTGCTTGTAATGGTTGCAGGGCTGGGTTGCGACCCCTATTGTGGCATGTGGGTCTTGGGGTACAGGTTTGCTCTCTTATGGCAGGGTTGGATTTAGGTGGCCCTCAGAGCCAGGATCTGTGACTCTGAGGCACCCTCTAGCAGCTCGGGCCCAGGGGGCCAGGTTGTAACTGTGATTCTACCCCAGGGGGTGGGGCAGGGTACAGCACTGGCGGAACTCTGAGGAAGAAGGGGTGCTCTGGGGGCTTGGGCCTGGGGAGCCAGGGTATGGCTGCAGTTCCGGAACCGGAGCCAACAGGGCTCAGTGGCAGCTCCGGTCCCAGGGGATGTGACACTGTGTAATAATGACTCAAGACCCTGGGATGGTGGGGCTTGTAAGTATCCCAGACTCTGTGAGGCCATGTGTGGCAGGAGAACGTACCCCAGAATGACAGAGCACACCTGTCACTGGGGCCCTGAGGAGGGTGGGAAGCAGCGTATCCATGACTCCACTCTGCAGGGAGAGAGGTGTCTCAGCAGCTCAGACTGGGGTGGGGGGCTAGTTCAGCTCTAGGGAAGCAGGCAGTTGAGTTGTTTGGCCTGTAAGGTGGGATGTCTGGGCTCAGCTACTGCTCTGTTTCTCTGGGATGTAGGGCACTGCATCAGCTCAGCCCTGGGATGTGCAGCTGCTCAGCTCAGCCAGGGCACTGATTCCCCTTGCGGTGGTGTGTCGCTTCCACTCAGGCCTGAGGGACGGGACTGTCCTGGGTGGCCCAGGCATTTCCCTGGATGCAGAGTGCTTCTTCAACTTGGGTTCCAGGAGGCATGACTGCTCTGAGCAGCCAAGGTATTGTTTTCCCTGGAGGCCGTTTATGGCTTTAGCTCCAGCCTGAGGGGGCAAGAGCGGGTAGTGGAGTGGCCCCACCTTTGCTTGGCCCCACAGAGGAGGTGTAACAGCTGCCTGCAGCTTGGCTGGGGGATGTGGGGCCACTGGGCTGGGGTGGTTGGGCAGCGGCTTAGCTTCAGGGGTGAAGGGGAGCTGGGGCTGCTACCCCAGGAACAAGATACACTCCAGCAGTAGTTCCAGTTCCAAGAGGGCACCGTGAGGGCCACGGGGGCAGGCACAGTGTCGATTCCTTCTCCGGCGGGAGCACAGTGGTGTGGCCTCCAGGCAGCTCACTCCACCCTGGGCTTCGTGCCTGTGAGGACTGCAAGGGACCCCAAGGGTGAGGGCGGTGGGTGTCCACGGTGTTGGTGGGGGCTGCTGGGGTCCTCTTGATTACCTCCTCACTGAAGGGAGGTGTTTTCCTGGGTTCTAGCTGACCCTGGTTAGGGGATGGGGTGCCAGGGGCCCGGCATTTCCTTCTGTTCTTTTTGTGACTATCATGAATTTCTGGGCTCGCCAGGGTTTCTGTTACTCCTCTAATGCACTTTAGCACTCTCCCTCAGTTGTTTTTGTTAACATGTAGTTGTGTATTCATTGTTCTGGCTGTCTCTGTGAGGGGGTTGAATGCTAGGCACTTCTAGCTGGCTATCTTGATAATGTTACCCAGAATGGGTAGTTTCTGTCGTCCTATCTTCCAATTTACTGATTTTTTTTTTTTTTTTTTGCCTCTGTCCCCTCCATTCTGTCTTCACCAAGATTTTAATTTCAGTTATTTTATTTTTTCTGTTTTAATTTTTCCATTTTGGTTTTCTTTATATGTTGTTTTTTTCTCATTGGTTTCTAGCACAGTTGCTCACTAAAGAAATTTTTTGATGGCCGATTTAAAACCACCATAAATCATATCAGATAATTTGAACATCTGTGTCATCTTTCTGCTGATGTCAGGCAATTTTCTTTTTCATTTAAGTTGCCTCATGTGTCTTTAAACCCAAAGTTCAGCCATGACTATCGTAAATGTTCTCAGTCTCAAGTAATGAGGCTTTTCATGATTAGACCTGAGCTCTGTGTTATTCTTCTACCTATGTTGTGAGCAGAGTTTTGGTGCGTTATCAGCCATTCACATTCTTTTCGTCTGTGTTCCCCTCAAAGGCTGTCACCCTGCTGTAGTGTTTTCCTTATGATGACGTCCTCATGAAGTTGTTCCATGTTTTCCTTAGGATGATGTCCTCATGAGGTTGTTCCATTTGGGTTGTGCCCTTGACAGCATTTGTCTCATGGATAAAGTGGCCTGTTTTATTTTACCCTTTCAGGGGGCTCACATAGCTATCTCTTCAGCTTGACTAGTGATGCAATTTGTCCAGAAATTTCCTTATCATTTGTGTCCCTTGTATCCCATCAGCCTTAGCCACATAAAATAAATCCTTTCCATTCATTTAGCAAATATTTACTGAGCCCTTACTGTAAGGTGGTGAACAACACAGCCAATGTTCTGCTTTCATGAAGCTTTCAGACTAAGGAAGAACACTTATTCCTATTTCATAGAATAACTATTATTGAGAGAACTAAAATAGGTTAATGGGCTTGACAATGAGTGGGCGATAAGGGATGGCCTCTGTGAGGAGAGAATATGTAAGCTGAAATGTGATTCTTTTCTGGAATTTCCATTTCTGTTTATATTATACATCTGTTCTTTCATATTTCTACTTTGCCATTAGAATTTGTTATATATTGAATTGTGTTCTCCCCCTCCCCACCCCCCATTTATATGTTGAGGTTCTAACCCTCAGTCTCTCAGAATGTTAATGTATTTAGAGATAGGGACTTTTCATTAGAGTAAAATTGGGCCATTAGGGTGGACCCTAGTCCAGTGAGACTGGTGTCTTTATAAGAAGAGAAGATGAAGATACATGGAGAAACCCCAGGGGCCTGTGTGCACAGAGGGATGACCACATGAAGAGGCAGCAAGAGGGTGGCGTCTGCAAGCCAAGGAGGGAGGTCTCAGAGGAAAGCAGGCCTGCTGAGAACTTGATCTCAGACTTCCAGCCTCTAGAGACTGTGAGAAAATAAATTCATGTTGTTAAGCCACCCAGTTTGTGGTATTTTGTTATGGCAGGCTGGGCAAACTAATACAAAGCCATTAGCATATTAATCATAGATATTCTGAATTCCCTATCTGATACTTCTAAAATCTGTCATCTGTGCAGCTGGTTCTGATGCTTGGTTTGTCTCGTCAGACTGTGATTTTTCTTTCCTTTTAGAATGCCTTGCAATTTTTGGTTGAAAGCTGGACATGATTTATTGTGTAATGGGGACTGAGGAAAATAGGCCTTTAGCGTGAGGTGTTTTGGTAATCTGGCTAGGAGTTGGGCTGTGTTTACTGTAGGGGACAGAGGCTTTATACTCTTCTAGCATCCTTGTTTATTCTCCCCTCTTCCCTTTGGGTTTCCCTAAGAATTCCTCCTTAGATGGAATTGATGTCTTTCAGCTCTCTCAGCTATAATACCGTTTTAAAAATCCCTGTTGCGTGTTATGCTCTCTCATCTCTGTTGGTATGATTTAAGGTGTGTGTGGAGAGGAGAAGTATTTATCATCTCAATCTTTTAGTGGGCCTGTGTCTCTGGGCTTTGGTCTTCAAAAGTGTTTCTTAACCCCCTCCCCTGCTTAGGTAAGTCAGGGATGGCAGAGAGGCCTGGAGTGGGAGAAAAGCCCTTCCCTTTAGGTGAGATAAGGCTCTGGTGAGGTCTTTCCCTGGAAACAGGGTGTATTCATAATGGCTACTCTTCCTGTCCCCCTGCCAGAGCCACGAGGGAGCTTTCTTCGCACTTTGAGAACCTCATGGGGTTCCTAGAGACAAAATCCACAAAAATATGGGGCCCCCCTAAGACTGCGACCCCCAGGAGTTCCTGATTCTCATGGTTGTCCACCCTCAGCTTCCAACAATTTGTCATTTAAATGTTCCCACCGGTATGGCTACAGCAGCTTTTCCTCCAGGGAAGCAGATCTTGTTGTGACTCTCCAGATTTCATGGTGGCCTTAATTCTTTGATGGGTCCAAGAAAAGTCATTGATTTGTTTGTTCTGCTTTTCTTAGTGAAGGATGGAAGTGCTGATTTCTAAGCTCTTTGCATTGTTGACAAAAAGTGTCAAACTCTGTAAAATATTTGAAGGGATTTATTCTGAGCTAATTATGAGTGACCATAATGAGGGCCTGTGACACGGCCCTCAGGAAGTCCTGAGAACATTCAGCTCAAGGTGGTTGAGGTACAGCTTGGTTTAATGTATTTTAGGAAGGCATGAGACATCAATCAAATATGTTTAAGAATTACGTTGGTTTAGTTTAGAAAGGTGGACAACCCAAAGCAGGGGCTTTCAAGTGATAGGTAAATTTAAACATTTTCTGGGTGACAACTGGTTGAGGTTGTCTGAAGACCTAGGATCAATGGAAAGGAATGTTCAGGTTAAAGATAAAGGATTGCGGAGACCAAGTTTTATTGTGCAGAGGAAGCCCGTAGATAGCAGACTTCAGAGAGAGCAGGTTGTAAATTGTTTTTTATCAGACCTAAAAGGGTGCCTGGCTCTTAATTGATTATCTCCTGGATCTGCAAAGAAAGGAAGGAAAATAAAAGAGGAAGGGGATTCTCTGTAGAATGTGGATTTTTCCCACAAAAGACTTTGCAGGGCAATTTCAGGGCATGGCAAGGAAATATATTTTGGAGTTAAATATTTTGTCCTTGTCTCATAATGTTATGCCAGAGTCAGATTGAAAAGTAAGTCACAATATATAGGGTCAAATACAACTCATCTGATGAGAATCCATGGTTTGTAGGGCATGACTCCCCAGACCCCTTAGGTAGGAATTTGGGCAAGATTTAAAAAATCGGAGCTTAGTTCTCAGCATGTTGGAGCTGGAATTGCTCTACTGAGTGAGATTTGAAAGGAGCAAGACATGTGAAGATTGGGGCAGGAACATTCTGGTTAAGAAAATGCAGAGCAGGCTGGCGCTCCTGGGGCATGGTGCAGATGGATGAGTGATACGAGGGGAACGCCGGGAAGCAGGAGGGCTTGATCTGGCGGGGCTTCATCAGCCAGAACGAGGACTTGGGTCTCCATCATGAGTGCAGTGAGGATCTGTGGGAGAGCAGGGAAGGTGTGTATTCTGATTTCTGTTTAAAAAGTTTAAAATACAAAAATTAGCTGGGCATGGTGGCATGTGCCTGTAGTCTCAGCTACTCGGGAGGCTGAGGCAGGAGAATCACTTGAACCTGGGAGGCGGAGGTTGCGGTGAGCTGAGATCATGCCACTGCACTCCAGCGTGGGCAAGAGAACCAGACTCTGTCTCAGACAAAGAAAGAAACAAACAAACAAACAGTTTAATTCTAGCTGCAGCATGGCAGATGGATAGGGGTAGGAAGAGGCAAGAATGCAAAATTAAATAAGCAAGCCACCAAGAAGGCTATTACAGTAGTCTGGGGGAAGCAGGATAGCTTAGACTAGGGTGGTGGTTATGGGCTTAGGGCGTGTTGGGAGGTAGAGTTGATAAGATGTGATGTGAGAGAAGAGACGAATCAATAACAATACCTGCCATCTTTGGGTGGGTAAATGGTAATGCTGTTTACTGAGAATACCTGCATCTTTGGGTGGGTAAATGGTAACGTTGTTTACTGAGATGGGGAAGATGAGGCAGGAGCACAGAGAATCAGGAGTTGGGTGTTGGCCTTGTGAAACCTGAGTTGGCAGTAAATTCCCAAGGGGAGTTGTCCAGGCAAGTTTTTGTGGCTATGAAGTCTGGAATTCCAGGGAAAGGCTGGGGTTGGAGAAATGGATTTAGAGTCACTGGTAGATACATGGGATTTGAAGTCATGGAGTAGACGAAGTCACCTAAGGAGAGTAGAAAGAGAAGGAAGCCTAGGACAGAGCCCTGGGCTAGCATCTAAAGGAGAAGTATAAGGAGGGACTGGTGAAGGAGTGCTATGGAAGCCAAGAAAAGCCAGAGGAGTCAAGTGAGACGAAAGCTGAGCAGTGACAACATGGAGGACATTGGTGACCTTGAGAGAAGCTGTCTCAGCAGTGAGCAGATGGTAGCGTGACTGAAGGGTGAAGGTGAGGTGGGGCGGTAGCAACAACAGACCACTCTTGTAATATTCCTGGGAAGGGAGTCAAGAACTGGGCAGAACTGGAGGCCAGTTTGGGGTCAAGGAAGATTTTTTTTTTTTTTTTGCCTTCTTGTTCTTTGAAGCTTGTAAGAATGGGCTTATGTTGCTGCTCGATGACTCCATGTTCCTAGGTGCTCAAGGAGCCTGGGGCATTGCCTAAGATGTGGCTGACATGGTCCAGAATCCATATGTGCTTTGGAGGTGGCCAGGAAGCCCATAGGAGGAGGGAATGCTCAGTGTGTGCCCTGAGAGCTTTGCCACTGTCAGAAAGCACCTGACAGGAACAAGTTTGATTGTATTTGACACATGCCGGCACTACCACAGAAAGTTTTAGCAACAGATAAGAGGGGACATCTGTACTCTCAACTTCTTTTTTCATACTTCCTATTGAAGTTTTCATCTCTACTCTCAGGCATTTAATTTCTAAGACTGCTGTTTATTTTTAATTGTCTTAAAAAATAGCATCCCATTCTTGTTTAACAGATGATATAGCTTCTTTTACCTCCTTGAGGAAGATATTAATAATAGTTTTTTAAAACTTTTCTTCTCACTGCACAATCTCTTTTCTTTGTCCTCCTTTTGTTCCTGTTTAAAATGATAGCCATTTATCTTTTTCTCAGGTGTCTGGTGATGTGTGGTTGTCTGGTCATGTTTAACAGTGGGATTTATAATGCCGATTGGAAGCTGTGAGCATATGGGTGGAGCTTCTGAACTTTTCTGCAGTGTGAGCTGGTGCATCAATTAATTGGGAACCCATAGGTCAGTATCTTCGACTGTGTTGTCTTGGGTTGTTCAGATTGTCTGGAGAAGACTCACCCACCCTTATTTCTGGAGGGATGAAGGCCTATAAACTCCGGAAACAAAGTAGAGATAGAGGGAATGTCTTAGAGCTTGTAGGTATGTGTTTATCTAATCCACATGTTTTCCAGACAGAACCTCCATCCTCAATTGTGCCTGATGTTTCACCTCCAGAGATTCTTTAGAAAATAAATGTCCAGGCCAGGTGGGGTGGTTCACACCTCTAATCCCAGCACTTTGGGAGGCTGAGGTGGGCGGATCACCTGAGGTCAGGAGTTCGAAACCAGACTGGCCAACATGATGAAACCCCGTCTCTACTAAAAATATAAAAATTAGCTGGGTGTGGTGGCAGGTGCCTGTGATCCCAGCTACTCAGGATGCTGAGGCAGGACAATCACTTGAACTGGGAGGCGGAGGTTGCGGTGAGCTGAGATTACGTCACTACACTCCAGCCTGGGTGACAGAGTGAGACTCTGTCTCACAAAAAAAAAGAAAAGAAAAGAAATGTCCAGTCTCTACTAGGGAAGGGCATTTTTCCAGAGGCAGGGAATAGGGGAGAGGGTCCAGGGATCTAATTTCTTATTATTATTTTTATTTTTTTTTAGTTTTGAGATGCAGTCTTAACTCTGTCGCCCAGGTTGGAGTGCAATGGCGTGATTTCAGCTCACTGCAACCTCTGCCTCTGGGGTTCAAGTGATTCTCCTGCCTCAGCCTCCCAGGTAGCTGGGATTACAGGTGCCTGCCATGACACCTGGCTAATTTTTGTATTTTTAGTAGAGACAGGGTTTCACCATGTTTTTCAGGCTGGTCTCGAACTCCTGACCTTAGGTGATCCACCTACCTTGGCCTCACAAAGTGCTGGGATTACAGGCGTGAGCCACCAAGCCTGGCCTTCTTCTTATTTTTAATATAAAGCCAGATTTGTTGAGTTATAATTTACATAGAACAAAATTCACTTGTTAGTAGACAATTGTATGAGTTGTGACATAAAACTATCTCAGCATATAACTCATATGCTGAGTTATGTGGTAAGTATGTGTTTAAATGTATAGGAAATTGCCAAATTGTTGTCTCAGGTGGTTGTACCATTTTATTTATTTTATTTTATTTTATTTTATTTTATTTTATTATTTTATTTTATTTTATTTTATTTTATTTTATTTTATTTTATTATTTTATTTTATTTTATTTTATTTTATTTATTTTATTTATTTTTGAGACAGAGTCTCGCTCTATTGCCCAGGCTGGAGTGCAGTGGCACGATCTCGGCTCACTGCAACCTCCACCTCGTGGGTTCAAGTGATTCTCCTGCCTCAGCCTCCCAAGTAGCTAGGATTACAGGCGTGCACCACCACACCCAGCTAATTTTTGTATTTTTAGTAGAGATGGGGTTTCACCATGGAGGCCAGGCTGGTCTCAAGTTCCTGACCTCAGGTGATCTGCCTGCCTCAGCCTCCCAAAGTGTTGGGATTACAGGCGTAAGCCACTGCGCCTGGCCTGGCAGTACCATTTTAAATTTTCACCACTAATCTATGAACATTCCAGTTGTTCCTCATTCTTGTCAACACTTGGTATTTTCAGATTTTTATTTTTTAATTTTAGCCATTCTAATAGGTATGGATTTAATTTCCATTTTTCTAATAGCCATGATGCTGAGCATCTTTTTGTGTGCTTGCCATTTGTGTATCTCCTTTGGTGAAGTGTCTTTTCAAACACTTTCCCTATTTTTATTGGGCTGTTGTGTTACTGAGTTTTCAGAGATGTATGTGTATTCTGGATTTAGGTCCTTTATCAGATACGTGTTTTGCAAATGTTTTGTCCTCATCTAGTGGCTTGTCTTTTCATTGTGACTGTCTTTTGAAGAGCAGATTTTTAAAATTTTGGTGTGGCTAATAAATTATTTAGTTGTATGGATTATGCTTTTGGTTTTGTGTCTAGGAAATTGTTACCTAATTCAAGGTCACAAAGATTTTTCTCCTGTTTTCTTCCAGAAGTTTTAAAATTTGGGGTTTTACATTTAGGTATGTTATTAATTTTTGTATAATTTTTGTATGTTAGGCAAGGTATAGATTGAAGTTCTTTGTTTTTGCATATGGATGTTCAATTTTTCCAGCACCATTTGTTGTAAAGGTTATTCTTTCTTGATTGAATTGAATGTATACCTTTGTTGAGAGTTCACAAAGCTGTGGTCTGTTTTTGGATCCTCTAATTTTATTTCACTTATCTCTTTGTCTGTCGCTCTGTCACTTGACCAGTACCACACTCTTTATGGCCATAAATGTTGAAATCTAGTACTGCAATTCCCCAACATTTCTCTTTCTCTAAATTGTTTTGTCTGGTCTAGTTCCTTTGTTTTTCCAAATAAATTTGAGAATTACTTGTTGATTTCTGCTAAAATTTCAACTTGGATTTTGGTTGGCATTGCATTGATTATATAGATGAATTTGAGGAGATTTGACATTTTAACAATATTGAGTCTTCTAGTCCATAAATATGGCATATTCTCTCCATCTATATGTCTGTGGATCCTTATATCTGTGTTTTGTTGTTTTCAGCATAGAAATCTTGCACATAGTTTCATGAGATTTATACTTAAGTGTTTCATGTTTTGGTGCTATTATATAATATATGGTAATTTTTAAAAAACATTAGATTTTTAATTTTTTGTTATAAGTATGTGGATACAATTGACCTTTGTATGTTGAATTTGTATTCTGTGACTTTGCTAAACTCAATTAGTTCTAATAACTTTTTTTCTAGTTTCTTTGGGATTTTCTGTATAGACAATCATATCATCTGCAAATAGAGACAGTTTCATTTCTGCCTTTCTAATCAATAAACCTTTTATTTCTTTTTCTTGCCTTACTGCACAGGCTAGGATCTCTAGTATGATTTTGAATAGGGGTGATAGGATATTCTTGCCTTGTACGTCATCTTAGGAAAGAAGCATTCAGTCTTCTATCATTAAGTATGATGTTAGCTGTGTGTTTTTTGTAGATGCCCCTAATCTGGTTCAGGATGTTCCTTTTTATTCCTGTTTTGTTGAGGGTTTATTATTATTATTACTGTTATGAACAGATGTTGAATTTTGTCAAAAGGCTTTTCTGCATTTATTGAAGAGATAATTTTTTTTTTCTTCTTTAGTCTGTTGTTACGGTAGGTGATGTTGACTGATTTGCAAATAATGAGCCAGCCTTCCATTCCTAGAATAAGTGTCTATTGGCTGTGAAGTATTATCCTTTTTATATATTGCTGAATGCAATTTGCTATTTTTTTGTTTAGGATTTTCGTGTCTTTGTTTATGAGGGATATTGGTCTGTTCTTTTATTTTAACATCTTTATCTAGTTTTGGTGTCAGTGTAATTCTGGCCTCATAAAAAAAAGTTGACTTATTTCCTCCTTTTCTGTTTTCTGGAAGACTTGTTTAAAATTTCTATTATTTCTGTTCTAATTTTTTGATAGAATTTGACAATGAAGCTCTCTGAAATGTTATACATTGCATGACTGTTTACCTTTAAATAATAATCCGCTGCTTCAGGTATAGTGTAAGTACCTTAAAACAGTGTTTTCCCATCTATTGATCATATTTATTTCAGATTCTTTTTCTGAAATTCCTGTATTATTATTCCAGGTTATCTGTGTGTCTGCTTCTGTTGATTGTCACTTGACAATGAGCCTTTTGTTTCCTTTGCCTTCTTTTGTTTGTTTGTTTGTTTGTTTGTTTGTTTGTTTTTGAGACAGAGTCTCACTTTGTTGCCCAGGCTGGAGTGCAGTGGCGCAATCTCAGCTCACTGCAACCTCTGCTTCCTGGGTTCAAGGGATTCTCCTGCCTCAGCCTCCTGAGTACCTGGGATTACAGGCGTGCGCCACCACACCCAGCTAATTGTTATATTTTTAGTAGAGATGGGGTTTCACTATGTTGGCCAGGCTGTTCTCAAACTCCTGACCTCGTGATCCGCCCGCCTTGGCCTCCCAAAGTGCTGGGATTACAGGTGTGAGCCACTGCGCCTGGCCTCCATTGCCTCTTCATTGTAATTTTTGATTTCAGTGTTGGACATTGTGTGGAGGGCAGTAGGCAAGGTCAAAAAACTTTTTCTGTAATGGGCCAAATAAATATTTTGAGTTTTGAGAGCCACGTGTAGTCCCTGTTGCATGTTATTCTTCTGGTTTTTACTTTTAAAAAATTACCCTTAAAAAATGTAAAACCTGGCAGGCTGCAATGGTTCATGCCTCTAATTCTGGCCCTTTGGGAGACTGAGGTGGAAGGATTGCTTGAGCCCAGGGGTTTGATACCAGCCTGGGCAGTGTGGTGAGACACCGTCTCTACAAAAAAATGTGAAAAATTAACTGGGCGTGGCCACATGTTCTGTGGTCCCTCTTTCTTGGGAGGCCGAGGTGGGAGGATGGCTTGAGCCCAGGAGATTGAGACTGCAGTGAGCCATGATTGTACCAGAGTACTCCAGCCTGGGAGACAGAGCAAGACCCTGTCTCCAAAAGGAGGAGGAGGAGGGGGGGGGGAGGAGGAGGAGGAGGAGGAGGAGAGGAGGGGGGGGGAGGAGGAGGAGGAGGAGGAGGAAAGAAGAAGAAGAAGAAGAAAAAAAAAGTAAAACCATTCTTAGCTTGCAGGCTGTACAGAAACGGGTCATGGGCTACCTTTGGCCTCTGGGCCATGCGTACCCTCTCTGTAGAGGGGAATGAGGTGGGTAGATAGTGTTATATTCAGGAATGGCCACTCCTCTTTTTCCGCTGGGTTTTCATTGTTGGGGAGTTAAGGTGGGTCTGGGTTTTGTTGTTGTGTATGTACCTTCCATCCCACTGGCTTCAAATTCCTCTAACCTTTCCTTGAGCTTAGGATGAGGGCTGAGTTGCCAAAGCGTCTTCACCCATGGCTTTTGGCCTTGCCTCTGTGTCTGCCTTAGCTGCCCCTTATCTTTGGCAGGTCTCTACTAGAGAAAGTTCCCCTCCCTTCCCCCAAAGTAGGAGGACTCTAACAGGCTGGCTTAAGATGGCTCCTGGACCCTCCCTGAGGGCTAGAGCAGATTGCCTTTTATCTTCCCTGGCCACAGCAGTCTTCTGATTCTGTAGGTGAGAAGCTTCTTGTTAGGGCTTAGTGCTGTGGCAGCTCCCACTGAGAGACTGTTCAGTCTGCTCTTTCAGTCTACATCTTAAAAGGTTTTTTTTTAATTTTTTTATTTGTTAAGTAAATGTGCTAAGAAAGAGGTGCTGATTTTGAGCCTGGTTCCAGTTGCAGTACCCAGTCAAGGAGTGAATTTACGGCATCGTAAAGGCTGCCAGTAGAGAGGAATGGTAAGGAAAGTTGGCTCCACTCTGGTGATGGATTGAAGCTTCCAGTGGGTTTGTCTAGCTATTTTTTAGTGGTTGCTACAATGTATGCAAGGCTACCAGATTCTATAAGTCCTGGGGCCATTCCCATGGAAAATAAACAACGTGAATTTTATATACCCAGTGACATTGTGTAAACTCAGTGGCCCTGATAAGTGCTGTATCTGTATGTGGTCCCTGAGGGATTTGCTGCAATTGGAGTGAAAAAGAAGTAATACTTTTTAAAACAATCTTATAAGTGGACAGAATGCTACTGTCGACAAAGAGTCAAACTCTGCAAAATATTTGAAGAGATTTGTTCTGAGCCAAATATGAGTGAGGTCCTGAGAACATGTGCCCAAGGTAGTTGGGTGCGGCTTGGCTTTATACATTTTAGAGAGGTGTGAGACATCAATCAAAAACATTTAAGAAATACATTGGTTTGGTCCAGAAAAGTGGGACAAAGCTGGGGGGCGTGGGGCTTCCAGGCTATAGGTGAATTTAAACATTTTCTGATTGATAAAGACCTGGGATTGATAGAAAGGGAATGTTCAGGTTAAGGTAAAGATTGTGGACATCCAAGTTCTTTTGAAGTCTTATGGTGGCTGCCTTAGAGACAATAGATGACAGATGTTTCCTATTCAGATCTTAGTTAATCTCTTTAGGATTAGGAGGGTCTCGAAGAAAAAGATCTAGCTATGTTAGTAGAGATTCTTTACAAATGCAGATTTTCCCCCACAAAGAACAGCTTTGCAGGGCCATTTCAAAATATGGCAAAGAAACATATTTTGGGGTAAAGTATTTTTATTTTCTTTCTTGTCTCATAATGTTATGCCAGAGTCAGGTTGGAAAGTCATGATATATAGGGTTAAATAAAACCCATCTGATGAGAATTTGTGATTTGTAGGACATGACTCCCCAGACCCCTTAGATAGGAATTTGGGCAAGATAAAAAAAATCAGAGTTTAGTCCTCACTAGCAAACAGAGAAAGCCCTCATCTTTCTAGTTTAACACTTTAAAATTGTATGACTGTAATATTTGAAGATGATGGTTATTAGACTATTGAGTTTTTTGATGCTGCTTTTATGAGCTAAGCTTTTATATCAAGCAGTGACTGTGTTTCTGGGTTATCCTGTAGTTTTCTAAACTGTCAAACGTGTTATTCAGAAAGGCCAGGAACCCCTTGAGGGGTAGATTGCAGTAGAACATTTTATTCTAGGCCAGGCGCGGTGGCTCACGCCTGTAATCCCAGCACTTTGGGAGGCCAAGGTGGGTGGATCACTTGAGGTTAGGAGTTCGAGACCAACCTGACCAATATGATGAAACTCCATCTCTACTAAAAATACAAAAAATTAGCGAGGCATGGTGGCACACACCTGTTATCTCAGTTACTTGGGAAACTCCTGCCTCAGTTACAGAGGAAAGCTGAGGCAGGAGAGTCTCTTGAGCCTGGGAGGCGGAGGTTGCAGTGAGCAGAGATCATGCCACCGCACTCCAGCCTGGGTGACAGAGCGAGACTCTGTCTCAAAAAAATAAAACAAAAAGAAAAAAGAAAATTTTATTCTAACCAGAAGCATTACCTCTTTTCCCTAGATCCAGATGCAGAGGTGTGCCTTCATGTACTGAGGCTTGTCCAGTCTGTGGTTCTGGAACCTGAAGTCTTCTCCAAGTCGGCCTCTGAGTTCCGGAGCTCCCTGCCCCTGCAACGCATCCTGGCAATGTCCAAGAGCCGCAACCCCCGCCTGCAAACCGCAGCCCAGGAGCTCCTGGAAGATCTCCGCACTCTGGAGCATAATGTGTAGGTGTGCTCGGCCACCAGGGTTTTGGTGAAAATGCCGGTGTCCCTTCTCCCCAGATCCCTCATTTGATACTCCAAAACCATCACCATGTACCATGTGTTAGAGTTGGCAAAATGTGATTGACTAGAGATGGACATGAATTGATATGTATCCCACATAACTTTGTCTTGGAAGTGAGAGTGCTTGTAGGTGGTTGGTTAAGCTTGCCAAAGGAGAGGCCATGAAAGAACCTGTCCTTCTGGAAAAGTGGTCCATGTCTGTGCTGGCTGGAAGAGGGCTTGCTTAGGGCAGCTTCTTGCTGCTCAGCAGACCATGACCTGTAGGTTCACCTATAAAACAGGGAAATTGAATAACCATCTACCCCATTAGTCAGCATTTTCTTGAGATACATTTCTTTGAAAAGCAATTCATTCTCTCTCTAGTAATTGTAATTAATCCCCCCAAAATGCAAGTTTACTTTTATAACCTTTTGGTGAACCTGCTATTTCGGATGACATTGGGCATTTTAGTTCTATATTTTTTGTGCCTCTTTTATTTTTGAATAAAGAAAATCAGAAGAGTTGTATTACGACCCTTGCTGTCTAAAATCTAAACTTGATATTAGGAAGTTAGATTTCTGCATATTACCATGCTACTCTTGGTTGGTGGAAAAAAAACTCTTCCTTAAACTGTTCTGGGCCCTTTGGCTATAAACTTAGAAGTCCTATTTTTCTTATAACAAATGCTGTAAAAACAACTTGTATAATAGATTAGAACACATGCAGTTAGTTGAGATTCCATAAATGAAATGATAGTTCCAGCTCCCTTTTTGTGCATGGGTGTGCCTGTATGCCAGGGCCCTGCCATGTCTGTGTTATCTACCTACTGGTTGCCATCCAGCTTGTTTTCTAGGCCACTGGCAGAGAGCAAGGGAGAATACACTTCATTTCTCATGGACACCATGATTGGTGAGAGTTGCCTTTTGTATTAGTCTGCTTTCACACTGCTGTAAAGAAATGCCTGGGACTTGGTAATTTATAGAGGAAAGAGGTTTAATTGACTCACAGTTCACTGTGGCTGGGGAGGTCTCAGGAAACTTACAATCATGGTTGAAGGGGAAGCAAGGCACCTTCTTCTCAAGGTGGCAGGAAGGAGAATGAATGCAGGAGAACCTACCAAATATTTATAAAACCATCAGCTCTCTTGAGAACTCACTATCACGAGAACAGCATGGGGGAAACCGCCCCCATAATCCAGTCACCTCCACCTGGTCTCTCCCTTGACACATGGGAATTATGGGGATTATAATTCAGGATGCGATATGGGTGGGGACGCAAAGCGTAACCATGTCACCATTTAAATCAATCCTTAAAGTCACGTCACGTGAACACATTCCCTTCTTTTCCTGGGCTGCTTCCTTCGGTGTGATGCTGGAGGGCTGCTGGGCTCTGGGCATGCTGTAAGAGCAAAACAAATGCAGGTGCACCCCACCAGTGGCAGCCCCATCTACAAGAATAAGCTGTTTTGTTGCATATGGCATTTTAGAGTAACTTCATTTTTCTTTTAAGTACATTTTTATAGGCAGTGTGCAATTTAAGGCTGAGGCTGAGTGAAGAAGTGTAGAGGAAGGCACAGTTGCTTGGATTTCACGAGCCAGCATATTGTGGAACACTAGCTCATCTGAGCCAGAGGAATGTTGCAAAAGGCAATTTAAAATTCATGGAGGCAGAAATCGATCCATCTGTGCTGTGTGGTTCTGTAGGTCCTGATTATTGGTGAATAAAATTAAGAATGTTGTGTTTCTATACTTAATAGCATGGTGCTATCTTCTTTTTGATTGCTATTTATTTAATAAGGTAATGGGGAATGCTGCCTCTAGAACTACAGGACCTCTTTCTGCCAGAGATGGGGTCAACAGTGTATAGAGAGGAGTGAGCGTTGGCCAGACTCTTGGATGTTGTGTAGTTTAGCTAATTAGTGGATGGATGTGTTTAAGAAGGATCATTTCTTTTCTCCTGATTTTGAGGTGCTAAGAATAGCAAGAGTTCTTACGAAAACTCTTTTAGGAAGAAACATGTGACAACTCCATATTTTGAATGTATATCCTAGGAAAAGTACATAAGGCCAGTTTTAAGGAGTGATCTGCCTCCTGCTCTTCATATGAAGGTCAACAGGAAAACACAGGTTCTTTAATTTTTCTACAACTAGTTATCTAAAGAAAACCTACTCAGTTTTTTAAAAGGTATTCATAAAAAGCATGTACTTTGCAGATCTCGTGAATTTTAAAATCAGACAAAGTAAAATAGTGCATATATTTTGAAATGTTTGTTTGTTTGTTTGTTTAAATGGAGTTTCGCTTTTGTTGCCCAGGCTGGAAGCGCAGTGGTGCGATCTTGGCTCACTGCAACCTCCGCCTCCTGGGTTCAAGCAATTCTCCTGCCTTAGCCTCCTGAGTCACTGGAATTACAGGCACCCGCCACCAGGCCTAGTTAATTTTTGTTACTTTTAGTAGAGATGGGGTTTGGCCATGTTGGCCAAGCCGGTGTTGAACTCCTGATCTCAGGTGTTCCACCCGCCTCGGCCTCCCAAAGTGCTGGGATTACAGGCATGAGCCATGGCACCCGGCCTATATTTTTATTTTTTGACACAAGAGTCTTGCTTTGTCGCCCAGGCTGGAGTGCAGTGGCTCCATCTCGGCTCACTGCAGCCTCCGCCTCCTGGGTTCAAGCGATTCTCCTGCCTCAGCCTCCTGAGTAGCTGGGATTACAGGCGTACACCACCATGCCTGGCTAATTTTTGTACTTTCAGTAGAGACATGTTTTCACCATGTTGTCCAGGCTGGTCTAAATTCCAGATCTCAAGTGATCCGCTCACCTCGGTCTCCCAAAGTGCTGGGATTACAGGCGTGAGCCACCATGCCCAGCGTTGAAATGTAATTTTAACAGAATTCCTCTTACATTTATTAAGTTAAGGAACTATTTTTCTCCTTGGTACCATCAGTTTGTATGTAAAGGTGTGAAACCTGGCAGGCCCGACGTCAGACTTGACTCCCTCCTTCCTCACCCCTTCCCCCACATGGCTCCGAGCATTCCTCTTGCTGTCTGGCAGCTCATTAACCATCAGAGCTGCTTTCTCTTCAGTCCGAAAAGAGCAAATCCTTGTTCTGACGGAGAGCAATATGGAGACTTCGTGGGGGGCTTTGGAGACCCATGCCTCCTCGTGGCATAGCTTGGGATAAGCCTCATGCCACAGAGTTCTTCTAGTTCCCTACAGTTATATCGCCTGTGCCATTCACTCATTCCAGAGGATTTTAAAGTTAATTAAAGTACCAAGCATAGGATCACAGGTCTGGAGCCTGAAGAAAATTAGACCAAGGCTGGAAGTCAGGCCGGGGTCAAGGAAGTGTTGATGAAAAGAGTCAAACTCTGTAAAATATTTGAAGAGACTTATTCTGAGCCAAATGTGAGTGACCAATGGCCTGTGACACAGCCCCAGGAAGTTCTGGGAACATGTGCCCAAGGTGGATGGGCCACAGTTCGGTTTTATGCATTGTAGGGAGACATAAGACATCAATCAATAGATGTAGGATGTAAGATACATTCGTTTTGTCTGGAAAGGCGGGACAATTGGAGGGGGCGGGGGGCGTGTTCCAGGTCATAGGCAGATTCAAAGATTTTCTAATCGGCAATTGGTTAAAAGAGTTAAGTTATTATCAGAAGACCTGGAATCCCTAGGAGGGAGCATCTGTTGTGGAGACCAAGGTTTTTATTATGCAGATGAAGCCTTCAGGTAGCAGGCTTCAGAGAGAATAGATTGGAAATGTTTCTTACCAGACTTAAGGTACCAGACTCTTAGTTAATTCTCTCCTGGATCAGAGAAGAGGAAAAGGATTCTCTACAGAATGTAGATTTTTCCCCACAAGAGACAGCTTTGCAGGGCCCTTTCAAAATATGTCAAAGAAATGTATTTTTGGGTAAAATATTTTGATTTCTTTCATGGCCTGGTGTCTGTCATGTGATGCTATACTAGAGTCAAGCTAGAATTTGGTGTCTGATTGCAACAAAAAGTCTCAAGATCTCTGTTTTAATGTTTATACCAGTCAGTTGTACCTGAATTCCAAAGGGAGGAGGGCATAATGAGGCATGTCTGACCTCCACGTCCCATCATGACATAATGAGGCATGTCTGACCTTCACTTCCCATCACGGCCTGAACTAGTTTTTCAGGCCAACTTTGGAAGGCCCTTGGCTGAGAGGAGGGGTCCATTCAGATGGTTGAGGGGCTTAGAATTTTATTTTTGGTTTACAGAGGTTTTGAATAAAGCTTGTAAATGTGCCTGCCCATTCCATTGATTCGGCTGGACCTGCCATTAGCTATTTTGCCACACGTTAATATAAATGGAAAAGGTTGATAAAAACTTTTGCAGACTTACTAATTTCTGAGAAGTCCTGAAGTTTGTTCTGTTTTCTTCCATGGCATAGATGCTGAGAATGCCTCAGAACTTCTCCAACCAGTGTAGGATCCTGAGTATAGACCCTGATGTAGTGTAGGATGTGGCATCCTATAGGGCATTGAAAGGTCTTTGGATGCTTTTTGAGTCCAGGCTCAGGTAAGAAGGGCAAGAGATAACTGGTACACCTCTGTCTTCACAAACTCTCATCTTTAAGAGCCATGGCTGCCTCTCTGCTCTGAGAATGCACACATTTAAATTTATCTCCAGATGTAGACTAAGAAATCGGAGTCTTTGTGCTAATTAGTGCATGCTATGAGATGAAAAGTGTTGTTACTGTCCTTTTTAATTTGTAATTTTAAAAGTTTTAAAAATTGTTAAATATACCTAATATAAAATTTATGTTTTAACCATTTTAAAGTGAAGACTCAGTGGCATTAAGTATGTCATAGTGTTTTATAATCATTACCATTATCTATTTCTGAAACTTTTCTTCATTCCAAACAGAAACTCTGTACCCGTTATATAACAACACATTCCCTAAACCTTTCTCCCCTGGCCCCTAATATCTGCTCTTCTTTGTCTCCATGCATTTGACTACTCCACGCATCTCATAGAAGTACAGTCATATGATCTTTGTTCTTTTGGGTCTGGCGTATTTCACTTAGCATCGTGACCTCAAGGTTCATCCGTGTTGTAGCGTGTGTCAGAACTCGTTCCCTCTTCTGGCTGTATCATCCCATGTGTGGACACAGCACATTTCGTTCATTCATCCATCTGTTGAGGGACACTTGGCTTGTTTTCACCTTTTGGCTGTTGTTAATAGTATTGCTGTGAACATTGGGGTACAGGTATCTGTTTGAATTTCTGCTTTCAATTTTTTGGGGTGTGTACTTAGGAGTGAAATTGCTGAATCACATGGTAATTCTGTGTGTAGCTCTCTGAGGAACTGCCAACCGCTTTCCACAGCAGCCGCACCACTTTACATCCCCACCGGCAGCAGTGCCCAAGGGCTCCAGTTTCTCCACGTGTTCATCAACATTTGTTATTTTCTGTTTTATTGATAATAGCCATTGATAATGGGTGTGAAATGCATCTTATTGAGGTTTTCATTTGCATTTCCCTAATGACGAATAATGTTGAGCATCTTTCCTTGTGCTTATTGGCCGTTTGTATCTCTTCTTTGGAGAAAAGTCTATTCAGGGCCTTTGCCCATTTTTGAGTTGGGTTGTTTGCTTTCTGTTGTTGAGTTACAGGAGCGAACGCCTTATCAGATGTGGGATTTGCGGGTATTAACTCCTATTCTCTGGGCTTCTGCACTCTATTAATAGTGTCCTTTGATGTGCAAGAGTTCATTTTGGTTAAATCTAGTTTATTGATTTTTTTCTTTTATTGCCTGTGCTTTTGGTGTCATATCCAAGAAATCATTGTCAAATGTTTGGTCACAAGGATTTTCTCCTGTGTTTTCTTCTTCGTTTTATAGTTTTATCTCTTCAGTTTAGATCTTTGATCCATTTTGAGTCAATTTTTTTCATATCGTTCAGCTAAGGGTCCGGCATCATTCTTTTACATGTGGATATTTCAGTTTTCCCACCACTACTTGCTGAATTTTATAATTATTATTTGAAAATGGTATTACAAATGTGATTTTCAAAACTGAAACACTTATGAATACTATGCTCATATGCTCACCATATGTTTAAATTATTTGGTTTCATGAATAGCCTTTTTTTTTTTTTTTTTTTTTTTTTTTTTTGAGATAGGATCTCATTCTGTCACCAAGGCTGGAGTGTGATCTCGGCTCAATGCAGCCTCTGCCTCCTGGGCTCAAGTGATCTCCTGCCTCAGCCTCCAGAGCAGCTGGGACTCTAGGTGTGTGCCACAATACCTGGCTAATTTTCTGTATTTTTTGGGGGAGATGGAGTTTCACCATGTTGTCCAGGCTGGTCTCTAACTCCTGGACTCAAGTGATCCACCTGCCTCAGTTCCCCAAAGTGCTGGGATTACGGGCATGAGCTACTGCACCTGGCCATGAATAGCCTTTATTATAGGATTTTATATTGTTCCAGTGGAGCTCCCTAAGTTGCTGCTTTTCCCGCCATAAATGTACATTTAATGCTCTTAGATCATACTCAGCACAAAATGACTGTTAGCTGGAAAAATGACTCCCACTCACATAGTCTATTATATTTTTTAATTGAAGTCATACTTGCAGCCCAACTTTTCAGGTTAAATGGTGTTATGCAAAATATTACTGTTTCGATGTCTGAGAGCAGTGCAGGCTTTGGGAAGAAGTGCAAAGGCCCTGTAAGTGTGGGCTTGGTGTATGTTTGAAGGGCAGCAGAGAGTGCTCAGGTGCTGGCTGGGAGACCTCTCGCCTTGCTCTGTGCGATGACTGTGGGGCCTGGGGCAGGAGCAGCCTCTGATTCACACTTAAAAATGTAAAAAAAAAAAAAAAAAAAAGTGGAACCTGCTCTTAAGATTGTCAGATGACCACACTGTCAGCCTCTAGTCATCGCTGCCCTCCCCACCCCCAGCACCTCAAATGGCAAAAGTCCTCGAGACTGCTGAAGTGAGTTTCTTTCCAAACATGCCTCCCCAAGGTGAAGCTTTCACTCTCCCCACAGACTCCAGCCACACCCAGATCTGAGGCCCAAGTGTGCATGTTCTCACTGGATACTTTGCCCAGCTGCCATACACACACTTGGTCCTGCATAGCATGGGCTGACGTGAAGGTGATAGGTCCCTGCTGGAGTGGGGCCTGCCACCTGCCCACCGGGGAGGAAAGCATCTCCTCTGCCATCCTGTGCCTTCATGCTCAGTCGCTGGCACCAGCAGCCTTTCCTTTGGCCATGGCTCATACCTACTCTCTTTTTGGATCATAAGCCCTAGAACTGTGGTTCTTAGCTGTTACAGGGTCATGGGCCACTCTGAGAATCTGAGAAACCTTCTGTATACAAAAGTGTATGGACATGCTTATCTGATGTTTCATCTGCAGTTTCTGGGAGTTTGTAGGATTCCCCCCAGGATCATTTACTTTTTGGTAAGGAGCCGTTTGCCCTGGGCTTGTGGAATTTGTGTGGCCTAGTGTAGTACCAGGCACATAACCAGGCACTTGAGCATTGAAAGCATTTAATGATGTCTATGACACTGTAAGGCGTCCCACATTAACGGTAGTCCCATAGCTGAAAACAAAGCATTGGCTTCCTGGTGGCAGTTCAGAACCTCTGCCTGATTTCCTTCAGCTCAGTCAGTCCTCACGGCCACCCCGTGAGGTCGGCATCACCAGCCACACTCTGCAGGTGAGGATACTGGACTCTAGTGACAGAGTTGCGGTTACAGTCTGTGCCTCTTGGTGTCACCTCCCTTTCCCTGGGCCCGTAACCTCATCTAGGGTCCTTTGCCTTCAGGCCAGTGTCTGTCCTGCGCCTGGGCATTTGCAGTTCTGGCGATGAGCTGCTTCACCCCCTGGCAGAGGGTCTGCAGCCTCTCTGGCCAATGTGCCACTCTGCTGCCACCAGCAGGCCCATGGGGTCAAGAGGGTGGGAAGAGAATGGGAAGTAGTTGGTGTGGTGGGGGGCAGTAACCCCTGCTCCCCACCAGGCTGGTATTGAGACAAGATGTGCTGATAAGTGACAGGCTCCTGTGGCTGCCTGATCACACAATAACATTGAGAAAGAAGAGGGAGAGTTGGCCGGGTGTGGTGGCTCACCCCTGTCATCCCAGCACTTTGGGAAGCTGATGCGGGTGGATCATTTGAGGCCAGGAGTCCAAGACCAGCCTGGCCAACAACAGGAAACCCTGTCTCTACTAAAAATACAAAAATTAGGTGGGCATGGTGGCACATGCCTGTTGTCCCAGCTACTCAGGAGGCAGAGGCAGGAGAATCGCTTGCACTGTGGAGGCAGAGGTTGTAGTATGCCGAGATCACACCACTGAACTTCAGCCTGGGCAACAGAGCAAGACTTCGTCTCAAAAAAAAAAAAAAAAAAAGAAAAGAAAAGAATAGGGAGAGACAGAGATTAATTATCAATATCAAAAGCCTTGATTTTTAAAAGGTTCTGTTCAGTATCTGCAGCAGTTTATAAAATTATCATTCCTGTCTCCATGAGCTGCATGCTCAGGTATCACTACAACCTATCTTACCTTGCTTAGAATCATTGAGTAGTCCTCTCTTTCAGTCTTTTATTTTAGATTCCACAGAGCTGAGACAAACCAGGGCAGGAGCAGGACAAATTCTCCCTGCTCTAGGCCAGAAAGCCAGCACAGGACATTGCTAGGCTTAGAGTTAACAGGACCTCTCCCTTGGAGATGTCCCCTGCTCTGGGCAGGCAGGTGGTCACAGCCCAGGGCTGACATGACCAAGCCAGAATGGGCAGGGAGAGGGGCAGGTAAGAGCATACCTTGCAATAGCGGGTGCTTCTGCTTTGTTCTTTTCTTTTTGTTTTTTTTAGTCCAAATACTGATAGAAGAGAAATAAAGGGGCATCTGAAACTTAGACGAGGTTAAGATTACTTAAGGACAGAGTGGAGTGAGCCTACAATTCACAAAGTGTGTATTTTTGCTGGGAGCTGAAGCTCACCCGTTAGGCATCAGAGCTTTTTTTTGAAAGAACCATTTTAATGGAAATTCTTAAAAAATATATCGCATGCCTGCTCCTTTATACATTGTACTTGGAATATTTTCCTCTTCTTGATGAATCAGTGTCCTTCCCTCCACCACCCTCAGCCAGGGAAGTAAGTTTTCCAGAAACTTAGTACTACACTTTGGCATTTGAGCACACTTCCTTCAATTATGAGAGTAGAAGGCTGTTTTCTTACATTTGGATGAAATTTCTCACCTCTCTGTACCTAAGGTTCTGTGAAACTTGTTGTAAAGGGGCTGGGGGTGCATGTGTTGGCTTAGATACCTGTTCCTTAGAGGTAGTTTAGGTTTGGCCCTGAGCCCAGGGAAGGGGAGGCAGCACCTGAATGTCCCATGAGCTGTTGTGCTGCTTGGAGCAGCAGCCTCTGTGTGTGCCGTGTTGGGGTGTGTGTGCTGTATTTGGGGGTATGTGGGTGTGCTATGTTGAGGGTGGCAATCAGCAGACTGGGGCCTTTCTGTTCTCTCATCAGGTTGTGAACCCAAAAGTATCTGAGACTTGCCTCAATCAATTTAGAAGGTTAATTTTGCCAAGGTTAAGGATGAACCCGTGACACAGCCTCGGGAGGTCCTGACGACATGTGTCCAAGGTGGTCGGGCCACAGCTTGCTTTTGTACATTTTAGAGAGACATGAGTCATCAGTCAATATGTGTAAGAAGTACATTGGTTCAGTGCAGAAAGATGGCACGACTGGAAGCTGGGAGGAGTGGGAGGGCATTCCAGGTCATAGGTAAACAAGAGACAAAAGGTTGCATTCTTTTGGGTCTTTGATAAGCCTTTCACTGAATATACAATTTACATGTGAGAGGCAGGTAGAGAGGAATAGTCACTTATGCCTAAGCCTGGCTCAGTGAATCTGCACTTTTTTTTTTTTCGAGATGGAGTTTCACACTCTTGTCGCCCAGGCTGGAGTGCAGTGGCGCAATCTTGGCTCACTGCAACTTCTGCCTCCTGGGTTCAAGTGATTCTCCTGCCTCAGCCTCCCGAGTAGCTGGGATTACAGGCACGTGCCACCACGCCTGTCTAATTTTTAAAATATTTTTAGTAGACACAGGGTTTCACCATGTTAGCCAAGCTGGTCTCGAACTCCTGACCTCAGGTGATCCACCCGCCTCAGCCTCCCAAAGTGCCGGGATTATAGGCGTGAACCACTGTGCCCGGCCAAATCTTCATTTTTATACATAAACAATAGGGCAGAGGAAGCCATCAGATATGCATTTGTCTCAGGTGACCAGAGGGATGACTTTGAGTTCTGTCCTTTGTCCCATACCTGTGAAGATAACTTACCAATTTACATTGCCAGGGTGAAAATCAACAGAACTGTTTTAGGGTATAGATCTTGAGGCAAATTGTGAAGGAGGTATGTAGCTTTTTTTTAATCTTTGTAGCTATCTTATTTAGGAATAAAATGGGAGGCCTGACGCAGTTCCCAGTGTCAACAAAAAGAGTCAAACTCTCTAAAATATTTGAATAGATTTATTCTGAGCCAAATATGAGTGACCAGTGGCCCATGACACAACCCCAGGAGGTTCTGAGATCATGTATCCAAGGTGGATGGAGTACAGCTTGTACATTTTAGGGAGACATGAGACATCAATCAAATGCATGTAAATGTACTTTGGTTCGGTCTGGAAAAGCGGGACAACTGGAAGGTGGGGGCTTCCAACTCATAGGTAGATTCAAAGATATTCTGATTGACAGTTGGTTGAAAGAGTTAAGTTATTGTCTAAAGACTTAGGAATGTCTGGGTTAAGATAAGGGTTTGTGGAGACCATAGGTGAAGCCTCCAGGTAGCAGGCTTCGGAGACAATAGATTGTAAATGTTTCTTATCAGACTTAAAGACCCTATTCTATCAGTAATTCCAAAAGGGAAGAGGGTATAATGAGTCATGCCTGACTTCCCTTCCCATCATGGCCTGAACTTGTTTTTCAGGTTAGCTTTGGAATGCCCTTGCTGAGAGGAAGGGTCCGTTCTTGTCGGGGGACTTAGAATTTTATTTTTGGTTTACACCAGCTTGACTTTGCCCTTTGGCTTAGTGATTTTGGGGTCCCGAGATTTATTTTCCTTTCACAAAGTCTTCCTGGTCTTCAAGAAGGTGCCTTGAGAGCCCTTCCTTGTGCCGCCTTCTCCTCGGGGACCCCTGCCCCTGTGGCTGCAGTTTACCCTGGGTGGAAAAGGCACCCATGCCCAGGCTGGCTAGAGCCTCTGCCACTCAACTGGTTGGGCCTCCGTATTCCTTGGGTGCTGCTCCCACTACCTGTCCAAGCCACCCACCAGGGCCCCAGACTCCCCTAGCACTTCTCCTGGGCTGTGTCCTTCCCTGGAGGCTGCTGAGCTGCCCTGGACTCTCCCCACAGTCACACCACGGTGGGATCCACCCATAACCCCTGCCCTGACCCACAGACACTTATTGCCTGAATCAGGTGTGGACAGAGTTCAAGTTGTTTCAGTGATGTCCCTGGCAATTCAGTGGAGATGACCACAGATCTGTGTCTGTCTCTGTGTGTGTGTGTGTGTGTGTGTGTGTGTGTGTGTGTGTCTTTGTGTGTGACTGTGCCTCTGTGTGTGCCTATCTGTATGAGTCTGCATGTATGTGTGCATGTATGTCTGTGTGACTGTGCCTGTGAGTGTTGTTTCTGTATCTTGTCTGTATGTTTTTGTGTGTCTCTGTGTGCATCTCTCTCTCTGTCTGCGTCTCTGTGTGTGGGGACTGTCATACCTTCCTTCCCATGCTAAACATACCTGTGTCTTGACTCTAGTCCGGCAAGCTTCCCTCGCTACACCTCTGCCTCAACCCTAAGGAATTTGGCTGACACGCATACTAAGGTTTTCTAAGGGGGAGTTGGCTTTTGGCTGTGTGGGCTGGAACTAGGGTTTAGGGGAATGTTTGTCTCCCATTTGCTTCTGGCTCTGCACCCCCGTGTATGAGGGGGCAGGAGGGCACTGTGACTGCACCTCTCCCATGAGCCCAGAAGATACGTTTTACCCTGTGGGCACTGAAGACAGGGCCAGGTTTCTAGGGCTCTATAATCTTTTTAACTATTTTTGGCTACAGGTCAAGTGTAGATGTGTCAGGGGTCATAGACCTCTGAATCCTGCAGGACAAACCTGAAGCTATCTGCTTCATGGAGTTAAATGTTCATCAGATTTGCATTTCTCCCTTAAAACCTTGTCACTGGAAACCTGGGTGGAAGTCTGGCCCAGTGCAGAAGCCACCAGACTCTCCTGCCAGCTCCAGAGGCTGTCTTAGGATCCAGAGCCCCTTGCTTAATCCTGTTTTCTCTGCTGTGCTGGAAGAAAGTCCCATTCCTGGGTAATTGCCAGAAGAAAGGCTCCGTCTTAAGGTTAAAGGAGCTAGAATCACAAGGGGAATCAGTAAACCCAGTTCCCAGGCCAGGGACCCAAGCTTTGGGATGAGCGATCTGGTCTTCAAGGCCAAAATGCTTGCTCACCAGCTTTCTTTCTCCTCCACACTCTGTCCAGGTTTGGGGGCACTGTCTTAGGCCCCTTTGACGTCATCAGCACAAGAGACTCAGAGCAAGGAACAAAACTGCCTGTACTCGCCAGGGCTCCTGATGCTATCGTCTCGTAGGAAACCCTGAATGAGGTCTGGGCAGGTGAAAAGCCTTCCTGTTTGTCCTCTCAATTAGTCACACTTGGTTCTGAGCCAAGCCGTCTGCTCCCATGTTAATCCCCAGCCTGGGAGGGCAGGCTGCAGCCGGCAGGGCTTGCACAACCCGCAGTCCAGGCTGCAAGGTGGCTTCTCTTCCCTGTATTTTGCAGCCCCGGCCCTTACTCAGCACACACTTTCTTGTTTCTGAGTCCTTCCAAAACATTCTGGTCTGGGCTGTACTTTGTGCTGTTTGGGAGAGGCACCCCTCACCTCAGAGGGCAGCTGGAGACCTCCTGTGTGAGGAGGGCTTGGCCTCCTTCCTGGGGTCTCTGCTGCTCAGGCAGGGGGCTCCCTCTCCCTCTCCATGTGCTTGTGGGTGGGGGCAGAGGTCCCGGCCTTGTCTCATGTAGAAGAGATGGTTCCAGGCCACATAGGCCTGAGCTGGTCTGCTGCATGGAGTGGCCTGACCACCAAGCAGAGAGCAGGAACGGCAGGGGCAGTGCTTGTGCTTCGGGGTTTTTAGGGATTTATGAATGTGCACACCAAGAACAGCAAACAAACCAAAGTTCAAGTTATTTCTCTTTCTTACAAGTCTGCATGAATATAGTCTCTTCCAGAGGAAGTTGATTAAACTCTATTGCACCAGCCTCTGAAGAATGCATAGTATGAAATAGCAGAGCATTTCTTGTGGCTCCCAGATCTGCCACCTGCAGTGGGGCCAGGCTACCCGACAGCTCCCAGGCCTCTGGGCACCATAGCTGTCTTCAGGTGCTCCAGCTCAGGACATGGCCATTCAGAGGCAAGAATCAGCAAGCTCCTTCCAGGCTGGGGCACATCCTGAAGCCCCATCAGAGCAGCCCCATACAGTGGCTTAGGGGTGTGGGCTTGTGTCCTCCTCATGGAGGAGGGGAGCACGTTTTCCCAGCAGCTCAGGTTTCCAGGGCCCCCCCACCTTCCAGGTGTGACAGTTTTTCATACTTAAAACATCACTCAACTATCAGAGTGGTATACTGGGGAGAGGCAGGGCTGTGACAGAGAGCTGAAGTGGTGTGCAACAGTCACAAACAGCTTTCACCTTTGACCTTGGAACATGTGATGTGTTTTGCCCAAGTTTTCATTTCTCCCTGATTGCATTTAGCTTGGGATCTTGTTAAAATTCGTCTGCATTTCCATAGCATACCCTGAGCACTCAAGAGGCAGGACAAGGGGTTCTAGCCAGGGACCCAGATGTTCCTGCAGACATTGCACACTGGAGGCAAGCGACGCCACCAGGGTGAGGCTGTCCTGATGCAGCATCCCCAAAGAGGCTGGGCCAGGGCAGCAGATTTTCCCTGCAACAGGGCATGGGGCTCCTCCTGTCCCCTGCCCCTTGGGCCTGGGCCTCACAGTGTGGACTTGTCTGAGGTTTACCTGGTGCTCCGTGGCGTCATGAAAGCCTGTTCCTCAGGTGTCTCTGCCATTTACCCCTCTGTCCTCTAGAGAGCACCCATTGGGTGACAGGCCGACAAGGGTCTTGCAGAATCTTTGGTCTGGCACCCTGAGAGCTTGGAGCTCTAGGGTCTTTCTCCATATGACACCAACAGGCCTGTCTCTTGCGGAGTGATGGGTCTGGGCGCCGGACACTTCTTATGCCTCCTCACAGCTTCCACACTTATCTTTGCGCCAGCCACTGTTGTATGCAGGTGTGACCAACAGCCCCTTTTGCCCTCTCCTGGGCTTTTCAGATTGGGCAGGGTGAGATACCAGGACCATACCAGGCCAGCACTCCTATAAGCAAGGCATGTGCAGACAAGCTCCATTCTCCCCAGCTCCTCAGAGGGTCACTGAAGGACAGAGCCTCAGTTGTCCATGGAGGAGACCAACTCAAGATGCAACTTTGGGGCTGACATTTCCTCCTTTCTGCTCCCTTGGCCATTCCTCTTCCTGGGGGTGGTTTCTAAAAACCACAACAGAGCTTTATGCGTAGGAAAAGCCCTGCCTTGGGCTCTGCTCCAGTGGAAGCCAGGTCCAGGAGGAAGTCCTGTGTTCCTGCCCCAGTGCAGGTCAAAGTATGTATCCCTGATCATTCATGCACTGGCTACGTAATTTACACTTATCAAGCCCAAACAACCTGAGGAATGAAATGCACAAGCCAGTAAGCACATGGGGCAGCAACCCAGCTCTCTACAGGGCAAGTCCCCCTCCCCGTCCCCTGCAGGGCTCTCCAAAATGCTGGGCACAGTGAGTGTGACAGATCAATATCAGAACTCTGTGCTCTGGCCCTGGGTCAGACCCTACAGATTCAGGGATCCACAGATCAGGGGGTTGGACTCAAACCAGTCATCAGAATACTTAGCAGATGTTTTCTAAGAGCTAGTGTGTGCAGGCACCACGTATGGCCTGTTATCTGAATGGTCTCACATGCGCCTCCCTATACACATTCAAATTCAGTTGAATACAGGTATTCAACTTAGCAACGATTATTATTCTATAGATGAGGACACAGATTTTGAGGTTAAATTCTAGAAAGAGTGGCTGGGGTTTGAATTGGGCAGTTGATGGTAGATGCTGGCCATAATGGAAAGATTTTGGGGCTTAGAGTGAAGCACTGATGCGGAGGGGACACTTTTGGTAGGAAGGGGCTCTGGCAGTCAGGGTGGTGTCTGAGCTGGACTTTGAAGGACACACACGCTCTGCCAAGGAGTCAGAGAAGGAGCTGTGGTAGGAAGAGGGGCTTCTGGGCAGAGGGATAGGATGTGCACCCGCAGGGTGTCACTTGGAGGGGAGGTTGGGGCCAGTAGGCTGGGAGGGCCAGCGTGGCCTCGTGGTTTCTGTACCTTGTGCCCCCACCAGGCTGTGTTCTTTACGTCCCCAGTGTCTGGACCAAATAAGTGCCGTGTCCAATAAATGTTGCTGAACTCAAGTGAAGGCCACTTTCCAGGAGGACAGAAAGTTCTAGAGGGAGGCTGTCCCAGAAGGAAGTTGGGGAAACAGGAGGATACCTAGCTTTGGTCTTGTTCTGTTGGGGTTGGCTTTTTCTTTTCCTTATTTTTTTGTTTTTTTCTTTTTTAGGGACAGGGTCTCACTCTGTCTTCCAGGCTGGAGTGCAGTGCCACAGTCATAGCTCACTGAAGCCTTGAACTTCTTGGCTCAAGCGATCCTCCCACCTCAGCCTCCCAAGTAGCTGGCACTACAGGTGTGTGCCATCACACCTGGATAATTTTAATATTTTTTTGTAGAGATGGGGGTCTCACTATGTTGCCTAGGCTGGTCTCAAGCTCCTAGCCAGGGCCTCCCAGAGTACTAAGATTACAGGCTGAATTTTTCTTTTCTTTCCTATCTTTTTAGAACGTCTGAGATATGTTTCACAGTGGATGGCCAGATAAATTGGTCTGTTGAGGCTTAATTGTTTGGATAATGACCAGGCCTCCATTGGTCACCCAGTGTGGATGACTCACCACCACATTGTGGAAGAAGGATTGTATGTGTTGGGGTTGTGAGCCCAGAAAAGGGAGAAGAGCAAGGCCTCCCAGTTCTCTCTCCAGAAATTCAAGGTCGTTGGACCAGCTTCTCAACCCAGCATTTCTTGTCTTGCCACCTGGGAAGCAGTGGCTGTCACACTTTGACAGGGTTAGTGCAGCAGGAATGACAGAAACAAGCCCATGGTTGCCTTCTTTCTTGGCAAAAATCACCTCAGCATAAATGCTTTTTCTCTCATTATGGCCGGGTATAAAGGGCTGAGCAACCCTGGCCCCGTGTGTGGGAGAAACTGGCTGGATGTGAAGAATGGGGAGGACAGAGAGGCCAGCTGCAAGGTCATGAGGGCTGGCAGAAGCCTGTGTGGAGGGCACTGTCTGAACTTTATACAGAGGGCGGACCTTCTCCTTGGCAACAGAATGTTCTAGCATCATACTGGAGCCTCCCACTGCCCTTGGACAGGCTGCACCTGAGCTCAGTTCCTCCTGGAGCTCAGCCATCCATTCCCAGCCCTCAAGACCAGCCATCACCAAAGGCCTGCTCTTCCTAGAAAGTTGTCACTAGAATTTTTTGGAAGGCCTAATCCTTTCTTGGGATTTGGGAGGGCTGAGTATCTCCCTAAGCATCGGCTTGACACCTGCATCTGTTTTCACGTTTAGGATGATAGGCCATTCAAGTTGGAGGCGAATGGTTACTGCAGCATTTTGGGGCACTCGTTTCTTATCCCCTTGTGTCCCAAGCCCCTCTTCTCCAGTTCACTGGTTGGGATCTGCCCTGGCCCTGAGGATCAGGAAAGGGTCTGTGAACTGGAGGAGGCTGAGGGAGGCCCCCAGAGGGGCCCTAGCCGGAGTCATGCTCTGGGCAGTCTCGAGGGCGATTTGGGATGAGCATAGCTGGGAGCTGGGGCCCTGGACAGGCTCGAGGACCTGTGCCCAGGAACCTCTGGAGTTCGAGGGTGGGTACCTGGTGCTGGGTGGGGGTGGCTGCGTTTACGTATGAGTGTATGCACGTGTGTGCACACACATAGGCTTGTGAGTGTGTGGGGGTTTGTGCATGTGTGTGCACGTGTATGAGTGTATGAATGTGTGCACGCGTGTGCGAGTTGCAACTCCACAGAGAGCTTCACAGAGCCCCTCTGTCAGGAGCCTTCTCTCCCAGTGTGCCACCATGGGGTTCTCTGAAATGGGGTTCTCTGTGCCTCTCGTGCCTTGCCTGCTCTCGGAGGAGCTGCTCCATGGCTACTCGCCTTGTGCACAGATGTGTGTCAGTCATGGTGCTTTCATCTGAGTGGGGACAGTTCAGAAAGGAAATGCCCTGGCTGCCCCTGTCGCCCCTCATCAGCTTCTCTTTGTGGCCTCAGCCACCTGGTGCTAGCTTCTGGGCAACCTGAACTAATCCTGGTGGTGGCCCTTCCAGGCCGCCCAGCCCCTTGGCCTTGCCACCCCTCTGAAAAGTCCCTTTGGGAACCCCTTGCCTGCATGTTTCTACTTTTCTTCTCACTGGTTCTAAGACCACATCCCAGCAAGCTGGCCCCACACCCGGACCTGGCACAGCTGGTCCTGCCCATTGGCACAGCAGCCCCCTGTGCCTCACCCCGGCTGGCCCCCTTCCTCCCTAGAAAACTTCCATGGCAGCACCGTGTTAGAGCCACTCTGTTAGGAACACCCTTCATGTTCTCACTGCTTGCCCACTATTGCGCTTATCTGGCAAAGCTGGCCCTGGTGTCACTCAGCTCTGCCTCTTCTGGGCTGTCCTATGCAGCTGCACCGTGGCTGGGAACAGCTGCTCCATCTCAGGAAACATTGACAGCACACATCCCCCATCAGTCCACTCCTGCCCTTCGGATACCAGCACCCCTTCTGCCACCCCCTGCCTCCCCTGACACTCGGATACACTGGGGTCAAAGTTCCCCTGCCCCCAGCACCAGTGCTTCCTCCTCCTTTCGCCTGAGCCAGCTCCCTCCCAGGTCTCCTCCAACCACGCTGGCCTCCTTTCTTGGGTATCTCACTATGGGCACTGCCCTGGGCTGGACCCATCTCCAGAGCAGCCCCCACACTCAGCTCCAGCATCAAATGCCAACAAATTCTGATCAGTGTAAATCTTTTTCTTTGGCACATTTGGATGCTAAACAGATGTTTCATGCTTAATGTGGCTGCATCATATATGGCGAGGAACTGGCTTATGCAACTGTGGGGGTGCTGGTTAGGCAAGTCTGAAATCCAGGGCAGGCGGGAGGCTGGAAACTCTCAGGCTGGAGCTGACACTGAGTCCATGGGAGGAATCTCTCCTTCCTCAGGGAAGTTTCCGTGTGGTTCTCAAGGCCTTCAGCTATTGACAGGAGGTCCACCCAGATGTTTGAGGACAAGCTCCTTTACTTGAAGTCACCCGGAGCTACCACATGCCCTCCCAGCAACTCCTAGAGTAAGAGTTTGACTGAGTAGCGGGGTTCTGTGTCCAGGCCCTGTGGACTCAGAAACAGCAGAGCCATTTGGTTTCCTCCTTCAGTTTCTGTCTCACCAGACTGTTTTTCCACCCTCAGTCATTCTCTCTCCAGTGGCTTGTTGGATCTTTTAGAAATAGAAATCAGAGCAGTCATTCCTTCCCTGGCTGAAACTTCCCAGTGCCTCCCCAAGGTACCAGGAGTCAGCTGGGCTGAGCCCGTGCTCTGGGCCACACTGTACCTGCTGACTCAGCTAGCCTGAATGGTTTGGGGTTTCCCTTCCCTGCTGCTGTCTGAGTCAGTGTCGGGAGTGAGCATGTGTCACCCACCAAGGACCCTGCCTGTTGGCTCCCTCTAGTCACACCTGTTCAGACTTGTCTGTTTTGGGGCTGTAGCAGGGAGGGGGTTGGGGCTGAGGGAGGAAGGCTCTGACCCAACGCAAGCTGCTGATGGGCCAAGCACTCAAGCTGAACAGACCTGCCTGGCTCCTCTCTGGCTGTTGGAACCTCACCAGACCTCACATCCTTTCTGCCCTTGAATTGTGAAGGTTCCCCTGGGGACCTTCTGGAAAAGTCTGTAAAGCACCCCCCTCTCCCGGATGGATAGCCCCATCCTGGGCCCCGTCCTCTCCTGTACTGATCACCTGGCTGGTATCAGTCAGTGGCTGCCTTGCAGGGAGGCTGTTAAAAGGCTCATGGGAGCCTGAAGTTTCTCTTTTGAAGCAGCTCTTCCTGCCTTCCCCCTGTGGCCTCGATTTGTTCTCTGGCTCCATGTAAGGGCACCTTCTGAGTCTCAGCAGAGCCTCAGCAAGCGGTGTTGGTGCCGTAAGGGACCCTCATCAACTGCGTCAGCCGATGTCTCCCAGCCTGTGTCTGTGAATGTTAGCTTCTTGGGATTGTGGAGTCCTAATTAGGGAAAAGGAGTCAGGCTGGCAGGACCAAGGGCAAGCAAAAAGAGAAAGCAGATAAGCTATAGAGTTGACTTTCTTCATGGTCCAGGACACGCAGGCCTCCTGCTCAGGTAACTCATGATCTTCCTGGGCCGAGCTATGGCCAGACACCTCCAAGTTAGCTCCTGGCTGCCTTGGCGTTATTAGTTCTGCACGTCGCCCTCTGCAGCCTAAGAACCACCCTATAAAATCCCCAGCAAGCCTTTGTTTCTTTGCAGTTGGCTCCTCTTCTGCTGATTCTGCCCATTGCAACCTTGGAATGCGTTTTCATACTTTCTCTCATAAATCTGCCTTTCTTTGCCTACAACTGTCTTGGTAAATTCTTTTACCCCAGTACCACCGGCCCAGATTGTTGCTGCTCACCCACCACAGGGATGTTACCTGATGTTGCAGATCAGTTGGCACCAGGGGCAGAGGAGCCTAGAAGCCCTGTTGCTCTCTCAGAGATTCACAACAGGTGCCAGTTAAAGGCTCTGAGAAATCCACAGCAGAGACACCTGCTTACTCTGCTTGGCCCAGCATTTCCCAGGCCCGTCTGACCATCGGGCCACCCTAGTCCAGCCCCTTCTAGTCTGTGGAGCATGAGTTGGGAATCACTGATCCCGACCAGACTTTCAATTTGCAGGAAATGTAAAGGAAACAGAGGTGTCAGAGGTTCAGGGACTCCCCGAGGCTTGTATAAAAGTCAAGAGTGACGTCGGCCAGGGGACAGTGTGCAGTGGCAAGGAAGGCATCCACAGGGTGTCCCAAGGAGGTCATGCCAGCTGGTGTGAGGATGCAGGGCAGATGGCAAGCTCTTGTGCCCAGGGGACAGTACAGGGCTGAAAAGGGACAGTATGATGTGCAGCTGTGGATCTAAGACTCACAGGTGAGAGGAACCTCCAGCTCACCCTGTCTGTTCTTGGAGCGTTCTCACTGTTTAAAGTTCTCCGCACGGAGTTGAAAACGCCTTTGTCTTACTCTTCCCCTGTCATCCTGGCTATGTCTTCGGGAGCTGCAGAGACGAGTTTTGGTCCCTCTCACACCTGGCAGATTCTTGAGCATCTGAAGATGGCTTTCCTCTCCCCTCCTTCTCACCAGCAGCAACGGCGCTTCACAGAAGACACTAGGGAAGACAGCCCTGGAAGAGTGACTCCTCAAGAATAATTGCCTCCTGGAGGGAGTGCTGTCCTGAGGCCCTAGCTCTGACCCACAGCAGGGTCTGGTCCATAGGAAAGAAAAGCCACCTCACCTACTTTCCCCACATACCCCTGGGCCGGGCAGAGAGTAGAGGATCCTCGGCAGGACTTTGCATTCGCCCTGTGGATTTGCATGGGCTCTTCTCTTGTGCGTGCACATGCAGGATGTCGCCACCAGACTGTACCCACCTACCTCCAGAGGGGCCTCCTCTGGAGCACTCATTCAGAAGGATGCTCGTCGGGGGACTCTCCTGCTGGACACCTCTGTCCCTGGGGGGCCTCGCCTGCTGGACACTGGACACCGGACATCTCTGTCCCTGGGAGGCTTCTTCTACCGGACATCTCTATCCCTGGGGGTCTCACCTGCCAGACAACGCTGTTCCTCGGGGGCCTCTCCTGCTGGACACCACTGTTGTTCAGGGGACCTCACCTGCCAGACACCTTTGTTCTGGGGGCTTCACCTGCTGGGCTCTGCTGTTCCTGAGGGCCTCTCCTGCTGGGCTCTGCTGTTCATGGGAGGCCTCACCTGCTGGGCTCTGCCGTTCTTGGGGATCCTTGCCTGGGAGTTTGAGCATCTCATGAGTCTGGTTTTCATTCTGTTGAGGCCAGTGGGGTAGACAGAGGGTGGCCCCATCCAGGTGTTCCTCCCAGGGTTGGGAAAGAACAGAGAAGCCTGAGGAGGGGCCTCCCTGCCTAGCTCAGGGCCCTACCAGCCACCCACTGCTGTGCCAGGGCCAGGACATTTCCTGGGCTCAGGAAGCCGACCTGAACGCTAATGCTGTACCCTGCAGAGTGGGTCAGAGCGTTTCATCATGGAGCTTCACCACGTGTTTCTGAGACGGGCTGGAGAAAAGGAGATGAGCGTTAGGAATGGTTGCCACAGCAATAACTCAGAGTGGGATCTAAGAGAAAGGACTTCCTTCTTCCTGCATGTGCATTTGCAACTGCCTACTCCGTGGGCACAGGGGAGGCTGCTGGCCTGGGTTCCAGGTGTTCATCAGGAACAAGGGGTCACACAGGCTAGATTACACCCTGAAACCTCCCTCTGGCTCTCAGGTGTGACGCTGCATCTGCGACCAGGAACTCGGGGATGAGGGGCAGAGTGGGGGCCTCCTGATGCCCCAGGCTTCCAGCACTGAGTATGGAGTACACCTCACCCCTGGGGCTCCTGGAAGCCTTTCCCATCCTGGGCACAACCACGAATTCCTCTCTGGGTAATTCAGCAGTGAAAGGCATCTGCTCTTCATTGAAGAGCAGCTTGACTTATGCTCTTCATTGAAGGTAGCTGTGCACAGACCTCAAGCCTGAAGGGTCTAAGGTGTCTTGTGAGCACCGGCTCAGCTCACAGCAGTTGGGAGATGATCCCTCAGGCTGGGTGGGAGAGAACTCAGTGTGAAAGACACAGCCCAGAGCGGCCGCTGTCTTGTAGCGGGATTTTTTAAGGAATCAGAGAAACTGATGGGGTACAGGAGGATATTTATTATTTAGGTGCACTAGCCCAGTCGGATTAACATCCAAACGACTGAGTCCCAAACAAAGAGTTAAGTTACCTTTTAAGCATCTCATGGGGCGGGGGGAGATCTGTACAGGGGGAAGCATATTACACAAGCGAGAAACAAAGACAGTTATTTAATTAATTGAGACATGCATTATGTCATTTCTTACTTTTTAAGGAGAAACATGTTTTGCGACTTGAGTTTATCTGTGACCTTGCAGCTGCACAGCTAGGGAATCAGGGTCTCCACAATGCCTGGGAAAGGGAGAGATAAAGCTCACTAGCCACAGAAAAACAGGCAGTTAATTTTTAAAGGACTCCAGCTCTTTCTCTTTCTCAGGGGGAGTTGGGTTTTCTTACAACTGAGTTTCTGCTTACACGTTCTTTAATTTCTTTTAATTCCTGTTCCAGTCTCACAGAGGCGTTTTAAAGTGAAAGAGCCAGGTGACTGCTGTCTCAGCAGTGGAGACCTTGCCACGCGTGCTCTGTGAGGGCAGGACCGGCTGTCCTTTAGCCTGGCACAGCAAGGAGTGGTCCAGGGTGGTGCAGTGCCAGGGTGCTGTTGTCGCCGTCTCTCAGCCTGCAGAAGGAGTGGGGGGTGGTGGAGCCAGGCTGTCTTGGTGGGTGCTTGCCTCTGGCGTGTTGTGCTTCTGCCCTGGCCTGTCTAGATGGGATTAGTCGTGGTCTTCTGGAGAGAGCCTTGCCTGCCCTTGTGGGTTGTTTTGAATGGCCATGTCTGTGTGCCTCGGGGGCCTGCGGTGGCTGTGGGGCATCACTGATGTGCTTCTATCTTGTACAGATGCTGCAGCACTGAGTTACTTGGCTGAGAGGGAGGGAGGGGCGGTGGGTCTGCAAGCAGCTGTTCTGACGCTGATGCTGCCCAGGGCTTCTGCACCCACGGGGCTGTTCTTGGTGTTTCAGTTCGCTTGTTCCTTGAGGCTGCACTGTCCTGCTGGCCACAGGCCTGTGAGAACAGGGCTGGCCTATCCTGGCTCTGACCTTCGAGTGCCAGTCCAGGGTCTGTGTCATCACAGGCCACATGTGTGTCTTGCTGACTGCGCCTGTGAGGGGCCAGTTGGCCGGCCTGGCCTTGTGGTCACCATAGTCTGGCCGGCTCTGCCCCTGCCCAACGCTCTGTCCTCCCGAGCCTGGGCTTTGGTGCACACTGGCCTCCTGAGTGCTGGGTACCCCAGTCCACTTTGGGCCACTGAAGAACCCTGCCATTTGGGTCCAGCTTGCATTTGCTCAGTTTGTTTTGGGGTACCCCTTGAGGCCCCTCCCTGCCTTGTGAGATCAATGACTCCCCACAGAGGTGTCCTTTGTGGTTGTCATTTGCGCAGATGGGTCCCTTGGAGCTTGTGGTGTGTCCTAAGTCACGAGCAGGAGGCAGGGCCTCTCCCCAGTGGTGCTTTTCTGGGAAGGGTTTCTCCCGCAAAGGAAGAGCCGGCACACTCGGCAGGAGTGGGGCAGACCCGGGCTGCCTTTCCCCAGAGCAGGGCACCAAGCGAATAGCCGCGGACCTGCAGCAGCGAGGAGTCTTCAACAGGACCCAAGAGTGCCAGCCAAAGAGGAAAGGGTTGGTACGATCTGAAAGTTTGCCAGCTAAGAACACATGCTTACCAAAACCACCTGAAAGAAATTTAAATAAAAAAATCCTACCAATCAGTAAGAAAAAGACCTACAACCCAATGGAGAAACATACATATGTGACTGGCAGGCATTTCTCAGTGATTTGGCTGGCAAACATGGGAAGAGATGGTCAACCACATTAGTCTCCAGGGACACGCAAACCTGGATGGTAAGGAGACCACTGTGCACCCACCAGATTGGCCGAACCTCGGAAGTCCAACCTGTCGAGCCTGAGCGGGATGTGGCTCTCTCCCAGTGCTTCTGGGGGAGCAGCGGTCTGAATATTTGGGAAACCCGTTTGGCACTATGTGTGACGTTGAACATCATGTGCCCTTTCTACAGCAGGTTCCCTGCAGGCACCCCCAGGAGAAGCTCGAGCATGTGCTCACATCTCAGGGCAGTTCTGTTGGGAGCAGCCCCAAGCCAGACACAGCCCAGTGCCATCCCAGAGTTAAGGAGCACTTCATGGCGCGCTGCACGCGGAAACCCCACACAGCTCTGGCCACGGTGAGCGAAGGCCACGGCGACAGCACCAGTGCTGCATAGCGTTAAGACTGAGTGAAAATGACAAGTCCCGAAGACTCTGTGTGACTCCGTCCCATACAGCTTGGAAACAAGCACAACAAGCCGTGTGTTTTTCAGCAAGTGTGTGTATATGTGTTAAAACTTTTAAGAAAAAGGAGAAGGAGAAAACTCCAGATGGAGGTTGCCAGGCAGGGTGGGAATGGGAGAGAAAGAAGCATGTTGATTGCTTTCTCTGCTGTCCACTTCTTGGAGTGGGGTAGGTTCACAAGTGCTCATCACGTTATTAAAATGAACGGATGAAAATACAAGGGAGCCTTACATGAACAAACGATGAACCAAGGATGGCATCAGTTCACTTGAGCCCCAGGATCCCGAGAGAAAGGCAGTGAGGACGCGCGGGTCCATCCCGAAGAAACGGCCACAGTGTGTTCCTTTGCGGTTTCCCATTATCCGCCACGGCGGGGCAGGAGTACAGAGGGCCCCGCCACATGGGGACCCACAGCCTCCATCTTTACTTCTTCCCCTCATCTGCGGGCACGGGGCTTGTAAAGTTGGGGCCTCTCCTCCTTCCTCCCCCAGAATGGCTGATGCGTGTGAACGAATGCCTGGCTCTGGTAGGGGCTGCCTGCCAGGCCTATGTTCTGAGCGTGTCCACCCTGTGTGCCTGCATGAGGCTTCGGTGGATTGCTTTCTATCCTCAGAGCAACTAGGTGAGGGCGCAGTCACCATGTCCCGAGACGGGGAGATGGAGGCCGGGCGAGCTCCGGGGCAGGCGGGCGGATGGGAGCCCCTGTGATGTGGGCGCTGGCAGGCTGAGCGCCACCTCATGGCAGGCAGCACCCCTCCTTCCTTGGTTTCTCCGCAGCGGAGGCCCTCAGTCCTCCTGCAGCCTCCACCACTCCTCACACCACAGCCAGAGAACTGTGTAGGCCTTCAAAAGCCCCAGCGAGTCTCCCGTGCAGCCAGTGGGGGTTCTGGGTGACACAGGTTCTGCAGGCTCTGGGCCTGTTCTCTCTGGAAGGTTCCAGGACAGAGTGCAGGATCCAGGAGGGGAAGGGAGACTTGTCCCCGTTTGTGGCTGGGGAATGTGAAGCACAGCAGGGTGGTGGCGTTCCCCCAGGGCCCAGGCTGCTGGGAGGCTCATGATTCTTGTCTCTGCTCCCTGCCGGTTCTGGGAACAAAGGAAACCGGGGAAGCTGGGCGTTTCCGAGAGAAGTTTCTTCAGAAACCCAGATTGGGTGTTGGACATAAATCTGGAGGAGTCTGCCTCGTCTCCTGGGCTGTGACCTTGTGGAGCAAAGGTGGCGGGAAGCGGAAGCAGAGGCAGGCGGCCCAAGGTGCAGAGCGGGCCAGCGGGGTCCTGCTGCCCCTACTGTCCCCAGGAACCACTGCCTGGGAGCAGCTTCCGTCAACACCCCAGGCCAGAGGCGAAGGCCTCCCTACCATAAACCTACCATAATCCCAGTGTGGTGTTGAAATTAGGATAGACAGTGTATCAGTGGAACACAATGAGTCCACAAATAGACCCACAGATACAGACACACATTTCCAACAAAGATTCAAAGACAATTCAGTGGAAAAGGGAAGTCTTTTTAACAATGGAGCAGAGACAATTGGGTATCCACTGGCACAAAAGTGGAACTGCATACTTTTCACTGCATACAGAACCTTAACAGATCGTAGACCCACATATGTGATCTAACACTATTAAATTTCTAGAAGAAAACAAAATTTTTGTAAACTTGAGTTAGGAAGAGATTTCGGTACATTGCTGTCAGAGAACGTTTGCAGAGAGCTCTGTTCACTGCAGGGGGAGCTGCAGGTCTGCACTGCTTTGTTCTCTTGGGGCAGCCACCCAGGCGCCCTCTGTTCTTAGGGGAAGCTGCCACCCTGGCCTTCAGGGCTGACTGGAGGCACATATCACTGCTTTGCGTCCTGTCCACCCGTGCCCAGCTTTATATACCTGCAGCAGGGGCTGTGAGGGGCGAGGCACCAGCTCAGGGCTGTGTGACCAGCAGGTGGATTTAGATCCTCATCTGTTTGTGCCAGCGCCTGCCCCTGGCTGCTGCCCACCCCCTCGTCTTCTCCTGCTCTTGCTTAAGAGGCCAAAGTCTGACTCCACGGAGGGCACAGCGCATTCCTGAGTGCGATGCTCACTTGGCATCTCTGAGCTGCATTTTCTGCAGCTCAAAAAGGAGGTGTGAGGGATGTGTCCTTTCCCGGCAGCTAGCACTTTGGAAGGCACCACACACCTTCCTCTTTGCTTGTAGACGTGGCTCTTTAGAAAAACAAGATAGCGTTCCCCAGAGCAGGCTCCTTGGAGACAGTGGGAGGGGGTGATGCCACTTGTTGGACATGGCCATTCATAAGCGCAGGTCATGGAAGGGGACGGCAGCCAGGATGGAAAATTAAAGCCCGCATCCCTGGGAAGACGAGCCAGGAGGTCTCACAGCTGCTCCACCTGCAGCAGGCACCGGTCTTCGCAGTGTCCACAGAGCCCTGGCCTGGGAGCTAACGACTCCCCTGTAGCCCTGGGGCTTGCTGTGCTGGGGAGCACCACAGACCCCAAACTTCCTGATTGCTCTCGGTACAGACGAAATGCGCCCGAGTCTTCCAGCAGACGTGGGTAATTTAGGCAAGAAGCATTGTGAACGAGGACAAAGGGGACTTTTGGTTGCATGTTGTTTTTTTTGTCCAGCGTGGCTGCCTAAGGTGACCACGAGTTCTCGTTCAGCTGGCTGAATCACTGCAGGCAAGGGGAAGGACAACACCCTTTGCAAACACGTCCTCTTTTGGCCTTGGGAGGCAGCATGGGAGTGTCTGCTGAGCTGCCATGGCCTGTTGGGGGAGGGGCTGGTTGTTGAGCCTCAGTCCCCTGCCCTTGCTGTCCAGCCTGCTCGGGGCTCACTGAGGTTCCTGTGACGGCCGTCCATGTTCCTCAGAGTTCCGCGTGAGACCCCAGAAGCAGAGCAAAGAGCCCCAGGGCTGTACGTGGGCAGCAAGGAATGAAACGCTGAGTCCTCAGGGGATGTTTGAGGATAGAGGGACAGAGGCCAGTCCAGGTGGAAGGATAGAGAACGGTCTTCCAATAGCAATGTGTTCTGAATATTTTGGAACATAATTAGGTTGCCTTGGTGAATTCCCCTATTTTCTCCAGAGCACTTCTCAATCTGAGGTTACATATTTACTTGGGAATTTACTTACTTATGGATCGAACTGTATCCCCTTGATACTGAATTCCTAACCCGCAGTGCCTGTAAATGTGACCTTGTTTAGAAAGAGGGTCTTTACCGACGTAAGCAGGTTAAGATGAGGTCAGCCCTGTCAGTCACTACATGACAGACGAACAGCAGTTGGAGCCACAGTGCCCAGGTGCAGTGCCCTCCCTTATCCTCAGGGGATGCATTCCAAGATCCCCGGTGGATGCCTGAATCCGCAGATAGCATTGAACCCTAGACAGAACCCTAGATAGACCATGTTTTGTCCTCTGCATGCGTATGTGTGGTAAAGTTTAATTTATAAATTAGGCACAGTAAGAGACTAACAACAATAGCTAATAGTAGAACAATTAGAACAATAAGCCAGCATCACTGCTCTTCTGATTTGGGGCTGTTATTAACTAGGATGAGGGTTACTTGAACACAGGTGCTGTGATACCACAACACTTGTTCTGATCATCAGGACAGCTACAGCTGGGCGCGGTGGCTCACACCCATAATCCCGTAATCCCAGCACTTTAGGAGGCTGAGGCAGGCAGATTACTTGAGGTCAGGAGTTTGAGACCAGCCTGGCCAACATAGTGAAACCCCATCTCTACTAAAAATACTAAAATTATCTAGGTGTGGTGGCGTGCGCCTGTAATCCCAGCTGCTCTGGAGGCTGAGGCAGGAGAATCACTTGAACCTGGGAGGCAGAGGTTGCAGTGAGCCGAGATCGTGCCACTGTGCTCCAGCCTGGGTACAGAGCAAGACTCCGTCTCAAAAAAAAAAAAAAAAAAAAAAAGACAGCTACAGAGTGACTAGCAGGCAGGTCAAATAGACACTGTGGAGATGCTGGATAAAGGATGCTACACGTCCCTGGTGGGACAGAGCAGGACGGCAGGGGATTTCATTATGCCACTCAGAATGGCAGGCAATTGAAAAAACTTATAAATTGTTTATTTCCAGAATTTTTTACTTAATATTTTCAGACTGCAGTTGACCTCAGGACACTGAACCATGGAAAGCGAAACCGCGGATAAGGGGGAACAAGTGTGTTTCCCAAAGTCACAGTGCACTTAGAGGGGGTCCTCCCACCCCATCCTCCCCTCAGACAGAGACTGGGTGTTGTGTGGGTTTCTACTGGGTCCTCTGAGAGGGCAGCGCCTGGGGTGAAGAAGTAGCCCCCAGACTCTGTCCACCCCCTCCCGCCTCTGGAATGTATCAGGGGGAAGACAGGCCTCCAGTTCCATGAGTTCCTGCCCTGGCCCCGCCCAGCACCCTCATGCCCACCCCCATTCTCACTTGGCCAGCACCACTGACCCCAGCGCACTCAGGCACAAGCGTGTTCCCTGTGCATATGCTGTCCGTGCACATACATCCTGAACCAGGCACACAGATGCACACACATACACGTGTGTGTGTACACATGCACTGTGTTCACACCCCAGAAACACACCTGTGTAGACACGTGCATGCACAGACATGTTTCTGTACTCGAAGTGGGTTCTGAGACAGTGAGCAGCAGGCACTTGGGTTTTTGGCCAGGAGCGCTGCTGTGCTAAGGCTGGGAGGGCCTGGGTCCCTGCAGGCGTCGCGGCCTTCCTTCTTACAGACTCGCTCTAGGTCGCCCCTGCTGTTGACACCCGTGTCAGTGCAGACACAGCCCTCCCAGCTGGGCAGCCGAGTCCGAAGGCTGCCTGCGCGCTGGCCCTTCCATCTCTGCTCCTGCACACGGCTCCTCTGCAGACCTACCTCATCGCTGTCACCTGCTCTCTCCCGTTCCAGAAGCCACCCCTGAGCCACGGGAAGCTCCCAGCACCTGCTCTTTTACTCCCAATTTGCTCCTCCTCTTCCGCCCTCCTCTTTTATTTCTATTTGGAGAAGTATGGAAAGTCAAAAAGTACAGTGAATAAGAGCAACCCCCATATTCCCGTCACCCAGAATGAATAACCTGTTATGTGTGTAGGGTGGTGGGAGGTGGTATGCATGTGTGTGTGAGGGGTGGGGGGTGCATGTGTGGTATGTAGAGTGTGTGTGCGCGTGTGTGGTGTGAGGGTATGTGTGTGGTATATGTGTGTAGTGTGAATGCAGTGTGTGGTGTGTGCATGTATGTTGTGTGGTGTCTGCGCATGTATGGTGTGTTTGGGGTGTGTGTGGTGTCAGCGTGTGTGTGGGCTGTGTAGGGTGTGAATGTGGTGTGTGGGTGTGTGTGTGGTATATGTGTGATGTGTGTGCATGTATGGTGCGTGGAGTGTGTGGGGTGAGCGTGGTATAAGTGTGTGATCACGTGTGGTATACATGTGTGCTGTGTGTGATATGTGTGCATGTAGTGTGGCGTGTATGCATGTATGGTGTGTGATGTGGCTGTGATGAGTTTGGTGTGAGTGTGCATGTGTGGTGTGAGCGTGTGTGGTATAAGTGTGGTGTATGCTGTGAGTGTGGTATAAGTGTGTGGTATGAGTGTGTGGTGTGTGAGCAGGTGGGGGGCAGGAAGGGATCAAGCCAGCATTGTTGTTACAGCACTGACTTCCCCATAGGTGATTTCCGCTGCATCCCAGACACCCCCTAGCTGGCCCCAATTTTTGGAAAAGTAAGTGATTTGGGGGTGAATTGCACTACCTTTAAGTGATTCTGAAGTCCTCGGTGGCTCAGAAATGCAGGGAGATGACATTGGAAGCTTCCCTCCCTCTTGTTAGGACAAATCCTGTGATTTGCACACCTTGAAAGTCTGGATCTGGGACCTGGGCAGGCCCTGGCACCCCCGGGGCCCCTGCAGCAGGTGCGGGGAGGGGGCTGGTAGGGCAGTGCACAGGGATGGAAGGTAGCAGAGTGGGCACAACATCCCCTGCAATCCCTAGCACATTCCTGTGGTTCCGTGGGTGGGTGGGCAGGACAGGGAGAGTCACAGGTGGGAGGAGGCCTGGTCCCCTGTCCTCACCCTGCATCAGTCCTGGCTGGTGGCATTCTGACCACCCTCTCCCATAATACCAGGCTCGCCCCTCCCCCAGGCCTGGCTGTGTCCGGAGCTGCCCTCTGGGCTCTGTGGGCAATGTGAACATGTGGCCGCCAGGAATAGCGCCTCATATTTAGACAGCAGCCTCCTCTGCTCCCGGCCTGCCCTTCCAGGCCCTCTGCGGGCAGGCTGGCCATTTGTCCCAAGTCCCTTTCAGGGTTCTGTTGGTGGAAGGGCCTCCATCCTGCCCACCCCTTCAGCTGAAGGCTTCTGTCCCAGGATCACACCCCACGCTCCCAACAGGACTCAGAGGGCCTCGTCTTCCAGCCTAGAAGCCACCAAGTTCTTTTGTGTAAAGTGTAAAAAATGTTTGCACACCCAGCTATTTGTGTGTGTGTGTGTACATTTAAAATTATGTGTTTGTTGTATTCTCATTAGCTAACGTCTTAAGGCACAGTGTGTGTTTACGGTGAAGTTTATAACAGCAGATGTTAACCCACCACGTGAAAGTGTTAACCCGACCATCTCAGAGATGACTTCCTAATCCTGGGTTCTCAGACTGGCCTGAGTCTGGGTGGCGATGGAGACAGCAGTGGCTTCCGGGAGGTCCCTGCACTGGCCCCACCCAGGGGACCATGGAAGGATTGGATCTGGGCCATCTGGGTCTCCTCTGGCCCCTTGTCCTGGCGCCTGGGAGCAGGGGTGTTGGGAGGAGGAGGCTAGGCTGCTCCCGGGCACTGGGCCAGGGCCAGGGCCAGGGCCAGTGGCTGTGTCTCAGAAGTCCAGGCTACCTTCCTGCCCCATGTTCCAGAAAGCTCTCCTGTCCCCAGGCTGCCCTCATTCAGGTACCTTTTCACACTTGGATGACTCCAACGGGCTGATTCAGTACCGCAGTGTCCCAGCAGCTGACAATGACTGGAACTTGGGGAACGTCTCCATGGCCAGACAGGGCCCTGTTGAGGTGGCTGAGGCCACAGCTTAACACCAACAAACCATTTGCTGGTGGTCACAAGACGGGGTGAGTAGCAGCTGCACATTCCTGCAGAGTGAGCAGGCATTCCCAGCTGGGTGGATGAAGGCCCTGCAGCCTGGATGTGGGAGCTGGAACTGTCCGCTTTGCCCGGCACACACTACTGCACCCCATCAGCTAAAATGCATTGCCTACCACGGGGTCTTCACCCACCCACAGCTCTGCTCCAATTCCAGGTTGGGCCCTTCTTCCTCTGGCCACTGTACCTTTATTTTTTTTAGCCTTTGGCATATTTATTACTGTAAAATACACAATACAAATTTTACCATTGTGGCTGGGTGCGGTGGCTCATGCCTGTATTCCCAGCACTTTGGGAGGCCAAGGCGGGCGGATGACTTGAGGTCAAGAGTTTGACACCAGACTGGGCAAGATGATGAAACCCCATCTCTACTAAATATACAAAAAATTAATTGGGCGTGTTGATGGCTACATGTAGTCCTGGCTACTTAGGGGGCTGAGGCAGGAGAATCGCTTGAACCTAGGAGGTGGAGGTTGCAGTGAACTGAGATCGTGCCACTGCACTCAAGCCTGGGCGGCAGAACAAGACTCCATCTCAAAAAAAAAAAAATGTTACCATCTTAAACCTTAAGGCTCATCCATGTTGTAGCATGTGTCAGAATTTCCCTACTTTTAAAAACGGAGTAATATCCCATTTTGTGGATGGACCACATGTGTTCAGGTGAGTACCTAGGACTACAGACAGAGATGGGGTCTTACTATGTTGCCCAAGCTGGTCTCAAATTCCTGGCCTCAAGTGATCCTCCCACCTCAGCCTCCCAAAGTGTTAGGATTACAAGTGTGAGCCACCATGCCTGGCTGAGTTAATTTTTGTATACGGTGTAAGGTAAAGATCCAACTTCACTTTTTTAAAAAATTTAACTGGATTTCCAATTTTCCCAGCACTATTTGATGGAAAGACTGTCCTTTCCCCATTAAATGGTGTTCATACTCTCATCAAAAATCATCTGGCCATACATGCCAGGGTTTATTTCTGGACTGTTGTATTCCACTGGTCCATATGTCTGTCTTCATGCCTGTATCACACTCCATTGATTACTGTAGCTTTGTAGTAAGTTTTGAAATATGAAAGTGTGAGTCTTCCAACTTTATTCTTTCCAGATTGCCTTGATTGCCGGGCGTGGTGGCTCACTCCTGTCATCCCAGGGCTTTGGGAGGCTGAGGTGGGAACATTGCTTGAGGCCAGGAGTTTGAGAGCAGCTTGGGCAACATAGAGACCTTGTTTCTACAATAAACAATTTTAAAAAAATTGGCCAGTCACAGTGGCTCACACCTGTAATCCCAGCACTTTGGGAGGCAGAGGTGGGCAGATCACGAGGTCAAGAGATCAAGACCATCCTGACCAACATGGTGAAACCCCGTCTAGCTGGATGTGGTGGTGTGCACCTGTAGTCCCAGCTACTTGGGAGGCTCAGGTAGGAGAATTGCTTGAGCCTGGGAGGTGGAGGTTGCAGTGAGCTGAGATCGCACTACTCAGGAAGCTGAGGCAGGAGGATCAATTGAGCCCAGAAGGTCGAGGCTACAGCGAGCTATGATCATGCCATTACACTTCAGACTGGGTGACAGAGCAAGGCCCTGTCTCTAAAAAAAGATGGAAAAAAGTTTTTTAAATAAAAAAAGATTGTCTTGACTATTCAGAGTCCCTTGCAATTCCATATGAATTGTAGAATGGATTTTAAAATTTCTTTAAAAAGTGCTGTTGGATTTAGGTAGGTAGTTATTGCGTTGAATCTATAGATTGCTTTGAGTAGTATTAACATCTCAATATTAGGTTTTCCAATTCATGAACATGGGATGTCTTTTAATGTCTTTTTTAATGTCTTTCAGCAACATTTTGTAGTTTTTATTGTAGAAATCGTTCACCTCCTTGTTTAATTTCTAAGTGTGTCATTCACTTTGATGCTACAAATGGACTTGCTTTCTTCATTTGTTCTTGGGTTGCCATTTGTTAGCGTATAGAAATGAGCTTGATTTTTGCAGGTTGAGTTTGTATGCTGCAACTTTGCTGAATTCATTTATTAGTTTTAGCAGATGTGTGTGTGTGTGTAATCTTTAGTTTTCGGTGTACAAACAGGATTTTACTTCTTTTCCAATTTGGATGCCTTTGTGTGTCAGCATGTGTGAGTGATAGTGTGTGGCAGGGGAGTGCTGTGTGCGTGTGTGTGTGTGTGTGTGTGTGCACGTGTGTTTGAGAGAGAGATGGGTGAAATCAGCTGGCTGGCCTGGGTGCTCTCTGGGGCTATAGAGCACCACTCCTGGGAGTCCGTGCTCCACAGGACAAGGGAGTGAGCTGGAGTTCGGGCAGCAGGTTCACATTAGGGGTGTTTTCATAGATGTCTCTGGATTTCAGTAGCTGGATCCCAGCCAAAGCAAGTGGTAGCAGCTTTGAATTGTTGTAAAATTTCACTGCTTCGGAAAGACCTCTCTTTCTGTGTGTCTTCTCCACATCCTAGTCAAAAAATCATTTCAGAGAGAATCTCAGGAAGGGCTGCTGCCCTGCCACTGAAATGTGGGCCAGTCTGCCTGGGACAGATCCCTCTTTCCAGCAAGCATCTGCTCTTCTCCTAGTTCAGTTGGAAACTTGAGTTTGTCCAAGCGAGGTGGCCTCCGGGAGAGGCCAGGTGGAAGTCCTGATGTGAGCCGATGACTTTGGTCTCCTTCTCACAAGCAGTTGCCAGCCACGGGCACATGCAGATTCTCGCCGTCTCCATCATTCTTCCCCTTTGGAGGGAGAACCCAGGAGTGCTGTGGCGCCCCGCGGAGGGGGAGAACCCAGGAGTGCTGCGGCGCCCCGCAAAGGGAAGCTGGGGCGGGAGATGTTCACGGGCGGGGGGTTCTGCCCTGCCCCGCCATGGGTCTCTGCGCCTGCCTGGTCAGATGGTGGAACTTTCTGGGCACGGAGTGGGGGCTGTAACCACACTTACTGCACAGTTGTTGCGAGAATCAAATGTCAGCTGCTTGGGGCCCAGGAGCTCGGTCCAGGTGAAGTCCTTTGTCGGGGGCAGATCCTGCCGTGAATCTGAGTGGATAGAGGCTCGTGCAAGAGGCCAGGCCTCCAGCAGCCCAGGGTTCGCAGGTGGTCTGACACCTGCCCTAACACACTTCTGCTTTGTTCCCCAAACCCAGTGGGTTGATGGAAGCATTTCCGTCCTCTCCCGATGGGTACCCCTGTGCTCTTCACTGCAAACCTCCTTTTTAAGAAGGTTGAGTCCTGAGAAACTCTGCGTACACACACATCCCCCTGTGGCCACCTGTCAGGGTAGCCTGGGTGTCAGTGTCGACAGCTGGGTGGCACTGCCCACGCCGGACATTCTGCTAATAGCCAGGCAGTCATGCCTTCCTCTTCCGAATCAACCTCACTCGGAAGCTCAACGCAAACCCTGCCAGTCACCCAGCAGCCACAGATGGATGAGTCACTGTGATAAATGCACGATGAGGAAATACAGAGTCATCTCCCCACAATTCTATACTCTGTGTGTGAGGGAGACAGAGAGCGGGGTGGGCAGAGAGACAGAGAACACTGGGGAGGAGGAGGAGGAGTCCAGAAGGAGCTGGAACGGCCTTTCTGGGTGAGAACACAGCATGTGCCAGCCTGGCCCTGTGGACCACAAGGCTCACGGTGGCCACCTTCATGGGCCTTCCCTGGACTCGCCTGGTGGGTCCTGAGGGCTTGTGTGCCCCCCCTCACTCTGACCCAGGACGGCCCTAGGGATCCTTTGGCCTCAGACCTGTTCAGGCAGGACCCAGCAGAAACCCCTCCCCCGTCTCCGCCCACAGGCCTCTTTGCCCTTTACAAAGTTTAAGGGTCACTCTGGAGTTTTTCCTTAGGGGCTCAGAAAGTCAGCCACACTCGGCGATCAGGGTCAGGCTTCATGGGGTCAGACAGGCACGGGGCATGCTAGGGAGTGTCTAGCAGCCACTCTTGGGGTGTGAGGAGTCCTGGTCTGCTCCCCCAACAGCAGGCTTCCAGCTTCTAACGCAAACTTGCTGGCTGCAGAGTTGGTGTGAGATGTTCGCCTTGGAAGGCAGACGCACCCTCAGGACGTCAGGAAGTCTTGGTCAGGGGGATTGTGTTGGGGGAGAGACCACCTTAGCTGAAGGGGGTTTCCAGTGTGTGGTTCTGATCTGGGCTGCTGCACAGGCTCAAGGCTCACAGGACGTCCTTCCTCCAGGGTCATATGGGCCCCTGCACTGCAAATCGATGGCACCCATGGGCAGCAGGGCCTCCCTAGACAGCCCATCACACAAAAGACCACCTGTGGCTGGCCCCTCACCTGGAGGTGGTAGCACAGCCGCAGCCACACTTTACCACCGGCTGGGGCAGAGACCAAGGGCCCTGTGGACGGCTGGTCCTTCCCAGGCTCCCACTCGGGGGAGCCCCAGAAACAAGCACACGTATACTGTTAGAAACATCCAAGGGGAGGCCGCGTAACTGGAGGACCAGGAGGAGCATTGCGGCATCTTGGGGCATTCCATCCTGTGCCCTGTGGCAGAGCTGAGCCACGTAGCAGAGCTGAGTCACATGGCAGAGCTGAGCCGCGTGGCAGAGCTGAGTCGGCTTCTGAGAGGGAGCATCCTGTTCCCTGCAGCCCTGGCCAGAGCCACTAGGCCAGCTGGTCCCATCCGGAGGAGCCTCCCTCAGGCGATGGCTGAGGGGTCCCAGGGTCTCTGCTGATGGTCGGTTTATCCAGCTATGCTGCTGACCCTGCCCTCTCTTGCCACCCAAGGGCTAGGCTGCAGTGGGTAGGGGTAGTGGCAGGGATTGGTGAGGTCCCCCAGGGTGTGGCAGCCACTGGAGGAGGGTGGCTGGGCTCCGGCTGCCCTCTCGTGGAATCTTGGCATGCTGCTCAACCTTCAGCCTCAGTTTCCTCTTCCACGAAAGGGGAAAACAGTGGCTCAGGGGCTGGCAGTTGGACTAAGGAGCTGACGCCTACATGGTGGCTACTGATAACACCACAGTCGCTCTTTTGCTTTAGGAAATTGTCTCAAGGACGTTCCTGTTAAAATGCAAATGTTGGTTGTAAATTATCCCCCCTCCTACCTGGCACCAGCTGACTCATCAGAAGGGCTAGGGGCATAGAAGGGGCAACAGTGGGGGGCACAGGGAAGCCCTGGCTCGCAGCCTTGGGGAGATGGCACTGCCCCTCAGGGACCGTGAAGCTGCCGCCACGCATCGCCCCTGCCTCAGAGCTGCCCATGAGGCCCTCCCGAACTGTCCAGCCAGCCTGGCTGCCTTGGCTGGGCCCCTCAGTGGCCCCTTCACGGTGTTTGTTCTCCCCAGCTCAGCCACAACGCCTGCTGGCTTCCCATGGCCCTGGGGTGCTGTTGCCCTGGCCCTCCCTTCCCTCTTCTCTGTTCAGGTTGCATGGCTGTCATGTTAATCACCATTCAAGGGACCCTTAACTTCTGTGTCTCTCACTCCCCTGGACTTGCCTGGAAAGCCTCTCCCTCGAATTCTCCGTGCCCCGGGCAGCAGCTGCAGCTCCAGCGCAGGCAGAATGGGAGCCGAGACGAGAGCCCCGAGTGTCTTCTCTGCCCGTGTGGCCGTCCCTCAGGCTCCAGCCACCTCCCTTGCTGTGCCAGGTAACCTGTACCACACGTCCATCTTCAGGTCCCCCCTGCCTCGGGACCTTGGTACGTGACGTCCCCTTTCCTGCCAGGCTCAGGCCCTGGCTTCATTGAGGTCTCCATGGCGCGGTTTCCTCCCTGGACTCCCTCCGTGGCTGTGGCCTCTGCACACCCAGGCCACCTTGCCTTATGCTGCATGGCCTGCACCGCTGCTTGCCGTCATGGGTATTTTTTAAAAGGTGATTAATAACTCCTTCACCTTGAAAAAGGTGGGGGATCACCTTATTCTGAAAACTCATAAAGGGACAGAATCAAGTATGTATCCTGCTTGTCCTGGCAAACAAAGAGTTGATGATGGAAAGTTCTTCATAGACGGTTAGCTAATAGGCCGGGCGTGGTGGCTCATGCCTGTAATCCCAGCACTTTGGGAGGCCGAGGTGGGTGGATCACAAGGTCAGGAGATTGAGACCATTCTGGCTAACACAGTGAAACCCCGTCTCTACTCAAAATACAAAAAATTAGCCGGGCGTGGTGGCGGGTGCCTGTAGTCCCAGCTACTCGGGAGGCTGAGGCAGGAGAATGGCGTGAACCCGGGAGGTGGAGCTTGCAGTGAGCCGAGATCACACCACTGCACTCCAGCCTGGGCGACAGAGAGAGACTCCGTCTCAAAAAGAAAAAAAAAAAAAGTTAGCTAATAAATGAAGAATGAATTAAAATATTGCCATTTTGCAACTTCCAGTGAAATCTCAGATGTGGGCATTGGTCCTCAATGGCTGCAGAAATTAGGAGGCGACAGGCTGTCGGGGGCCTTCACGGTGTGAGGCAGGCTGGCCATAGATGGACCCCAATCGATCTAATCAGAAGGACAGGGACAACCAGACGCCGTGCGCCTTCGGATGGGACGTGCTGGGAATCACACGGCCCCACTGGGACCAGCCTGAATGAGGCCAGCCTCTGGTTCTACGCACTGGTGTACCAGGCACAGAGGGGAATGTGCTGAACTGCACCCAGCCACACACAGGCCATGAGACCCGGCAACAACCTGGTGTCCTGTCCTCAACAAATCAATGAAAGGAAAAAGAGAAGGAATCTTGTCTGTTGATTAAAAAAAAGGTAGATGAGCTCTAGCCGCCAAACACAGCACGCAGACCTTGCCTGGACCCTGATTGTCATAAACTAACCAAACAGACAGAGGCTACCAAAAGCATTGATGAGGCAGTTGGGAACTTTGGTGGTATGAAGGAATTACTTATTTTGGGGTGTGATAATGGGATCGTGATTATTTTTTAGAAAGAGCTGTCATTTAGAGATTCTGCTGCACTGTTGGTGGTGCAAGGAGAGATTTACTTCAAAATACGCCAGTGGTGCTCGCGTGGGGACGGGGCTCAGGGTGCCATGGGGTACAGATGAGAGGCCACTGGTCACCAGCCACTGTGATGAGGGCTGCAGGGCTGACAGGTACAGGGTGTTTAGTATACTTTGCTTTCCGTTGGTATATATTTGGCAATTTCCTAATAAAAAGTCAAAAATTGGCCGGGCCCTGTGGCTCATGCCTGTAATCCAGCACTTTGAGAGACTGAGATGGGAGGATCACTGGAGGCCAGGAGTTTGCGACCAGCCTGGGCAATAGAGCAAGACCCTATCTCTATGAAGAAAAAATTGGCCAGGTGTGGTAGCACATGCCTGCAGTTTCAGCTACTCAAGAGGCTGAGGTGGGAAGACTGCTTGAGTCCAGGAGTTTGAAGTTGCAGTGAGCCAGGATGGTGCCACTGCGCTCCAGCCTGGGTGACAGAGTGAGAGCCTGTCTCGAAAACATTTTTTTAAGTTAAAAATCAGCCAATAGGTGGATTATTCATCCCATAATCACCATTAGGCTGAAAAGGTAACATTTTTCCTTTGGGTCACAAAGGTCTTCTGTAACCCCAGCAAAGTATGAACGTAATATTACTTAAACTCCAAGAAGTCTTCAAAACAGGCAGTGTTATAAGCTAGGGTGGTTTACACAAGCAGAGAAACAAATAGATGACGCAAACCCTGATTGTGTGGAACCCAGTTTATATGTTTGTGTGTTTTGTTTGCTTTCAAGAAGTTTAAGGTGTTTGGAAGAATCACTCACCCTAAATCATTGATTATGGTTTTAATGGTTTAAGGAGATGTAGTTACACCAATAAGCCTTAAATGATAAGAAAACTGCTTTTTCAAAGTTCCCCTTATTCTTACATTAACTTTATTATTTTTTATTTTTTATTTTTATTTTTGAGACAGAGTCTCATTCACTCTCACCCAGACTGGAGTGCAATGGCGCGATCTCGGCTCACTGCAACCTGCACCTGCCAGGTTCAAGCGATTCTCCTGCCTCAGCCTCTAGAGTAGCTGGGATTATAGGCATGCACCACCACGCCCAGCTAATTTTTATATATTTTTTTTAGTAAAGATCGGGTTTCGCCATGTTGGCCAGGCTGGTCTTGAACTCCTGACCTCAGGTGATCTGCCCGCCGTGACCTCCCGAAGTGCTGGGATAACAGGTGTGAGCCACCATGCCTGGCCACATTCACTTTAATAACTAAAACATTATAGAGCTGCAGGGCTCTGTTGAACACGCCCAGGGTTGGTCCCGCCTTGTGCTGGCTCTGTTTCTCCTTCTTTTCGTTTGGTGTTGGTGTTTCTCCTTCTTTTCGTTTGGTGTTGGTGTTTCTCCTTCTTTTCGTTTGGTGTTGGTGTTTCTCCTTCTTTTCGTTTGGTGTTGGTGTTTCTCCTTTTTGTTTGCTGTTGGTGTTTCTCCTTCTTTTCGTTTGGTGTTGGTGTTTCTCCTTCTTTTCGTTTGGTGTTGGTGTTTCTCCTTTTCGTTTGCTGTTGGTCTCTGGCTGCTCTGAGCAGCACACAGTGTGCAGCCTCTGCTCCTCCCTGTTGAAGAGGGCAATATAGCTTGGATGTCCCGCTCTGGTCTCATGTGGGGATGTAGTCCCCAGTGCTGGAGGTGGGGCCTGGTGGGAGGAGCTGGATCATAGGGGTGGCTCCTGGCTTGGTGCTGTCCTTGTGATAGTCAGTGAGCTCTCGAGAGAGCTGGGAAACAGTCTGTGGCATCTTCCACCTGCCACCTGCCCTCCCGCTCTTGCTGTGCGACACATGGGCTCCTCCTGTGCCTTCCGACATGATTGAAAGCTTCCTGAGGCCTCACCGGAAGCCAAGCAGATGCCAGTGCCATGCTTCCTGTGTAGCCTACAGAACCTGAGCCAATCAAACCCCTTTTCTTTATAAATTACCCAGTCTCAGTTTGTTTCTTTATAGCAATGCAAGAATGGCCTACCTACCACAGGGGGCAATGGGCCCGTGGGGGAGGGGTGTAAAAGCCAGGACCTGAGGGCTCCTCAGTGTTGTTGTGGATAAAATGGGGGATGGACATTTCCTGGGTCCTTGCCACCCCCTGCGAAGTCATGGGGTCTTCCTGAGTGTACAGGACGCTGCCTGGCCTGGCCTCAGCCCTCCCATTCCACCCGTGCAGGACGATGCCTACAGAAGTGTCCCTGGGTCACAGCCCATCAGAAGGAGGATTGGGCAGTGGTGTGGGCCAAGAGCCTGTCTGCACAGAGATCCTTGGGGGCTCAAGACAGCCCTGCACCCCGGCCAGGAGCTCCGTGTGTCACTCCTTTTGTTGGTTTATTTGTTTAAGATTTTCTTATTTGAGTTGCAGAAATGAGATTGAGAAAGGGGCGTGCTGTGGCTACCCTGCTGCATCCTATGCAAATGTCGTGGAGCCCGGTCACCCAGATAGCTGTGTCCAGGCATTGGCAGCCAGGCCTTCCCGGGAGGACTGCCTGCGGGGGCTCAGCCCACCCAGTTCCCGCCAGCAGGAGCAGGCAGTGCCCGCCGCTGCCCCCACTTGGAGGTTCTGAGGTGTCAGTCACCTTTTTGTTGTTGTTTTTAAAAAACTTTACTGAGGTGGAGTTTGCATGCTACCCAAGTCTCAGGTGTACGATTCAGCAGTTGTCACTGCATCATGCAGCCACCAGCACGATCCACCGTCGGAACATTGCATCCTTCCAGATAGACCCTGTGTGCCCCTTCACGGCTCATCCCGTTCCTGTCCCAGGCCCTGGCAGCCCTGGCATAGCTCCTGTCCCTGTGGATGCGCCTGCTCTGAATATTTCCCAGCAGCAGAGTCACAGGATGTGGCCTCTCACTGAGCAGCATGTCCTGAGGCTTGTCTGTGCTGTGGCGTGAGTCAGAGCCTCCCTCCTTTCCATGGCCGAACAGGTTTCATCGTATGCGTGTCCTGTGCATCTGCCCAGCAGCTGATGGATGCTGGGGTGCCCACGTTGTGGCTATTGGGAATCAAGTGGCTGAACACGTCACGGCACTTGTGTTTCCGCTTCTCTCGCGCAGACGTCTAGGAGTTGATGTCTTTTATGAAAGAGTAAGTTTTTGAGTAAGTTAGATATGCCCAGGGAACAAGTTTCAGAAGGCACAGAAGCAACTAAAGGAAGAGTGAGTAGTAAACGTCCTACTGGTGTCTCCTACTGGTGTCTCTCCAAAGGCGGTCATTGTCGCCAGATTCTTGTGTTTCCCCTGAGGGCCTTTCCATGTCTATCAGCAGAAAAACACACTGCATTTGATGTAAAAGAGATGTGTCTTGGTTTGGGTTCCCCTGAAGGCAGAGCCGAGGCAGGGGCTTGGGTGCAGGTGGATTACCTGGAGGTGACCCAGGAAGCCCGAGGGGACAGGAGGGAGCAGTGGGATGGAGAGGTGGGAAGAAAGGAGTCTGTGCAGCTGAGTTGCTGAGCGGTTCCCACGGAGAGCAGCCATGCTCAGTTCCACCAGGCACCTCCAAGGGCTGTGCCTCTGAAGGACGGGAGGTTGGGTTATTTGTGGGAGGACCTGGACCCCTCCTGGCCGAGGCCGGCCCCAGGGATTGCCGCCTCCACTTTCTGCGGCTTAGGCAGGATCTTTGTGTAGATGTTTGCACAGATGGTAGCTTTGTCTGTTCACGGTTCTGTACTTTTCCATATTCACTTGACCATGTATCTTGGGAACGTACCTCACTTTTTTTTTTTTTTTTTTTTTTGAGTTGGAGCCTTGCTCTGTCACTCAGGCTGGAGTGCAGTGGTGCCATTTTGGCTCACTGCAACCTCTGCCTTCCTGGTTCAGGCGATTCTCCTGCCTCAGCCTCCTGAGTAGCTGGGACTACAGGCACATGCCACCATGCCTGTCCAGTGTTTGTATTTTTAGTAGAGACAGGATTTCGCCCTGTTGGCCAGGCTTGTCTTGAACTCCTGACCTCAGGTGATCCACCCACCTCAGCCTCCCAAAGTGCTGGGATTACAGGCGTGAGCCACCACCCCCAGCCCCATACCTCACTCTTAAATGGAACATAATATTCCCTTGTATGGATATGCTGTGGTTTATTCACTAGTCTTGCCTAGTGATGGATCTTTAGATTTGTTTTTTTCTGTGAGAAATGCTGCAATAACTTACTTTGAAATGCATCAGAAGTAAGATGGGTGGATGGACCTGGGCTAGGCAAGTGTAGTGCGCTGTGCATGGGAGTGTCTGGGAGTGCATGGGTCTTCACTGCACAACTGGCTAAATAAATTGCCATGTGTTTGAAAGGTTCAGAAAGTAAAACGGTGGGGAGAGTGCTGGTCTCTTAAGTGTTAAAGCCCCAGGACAGTGGTATTGTGGGGTGCGGGGTCCATCAGCTCAGCTTCTTCCCAGACAGGCAAGCGCAGGGAACCTGAGACCCCTGGACCCTTGGCAGGAGGGCACCTGGAAGGGCCCTGGGAAGCCCTGGAGTGCCTCAAAACAGGGAGCCCAGTACAGAGTGTGATTCTGGTGCCCGAGCCTAGGGCTTGGTGAGACGGCCCCTCATGGAAGCCCCAGCCCCCACTCTCTGCCCCGCTCCTGCTGGATGGGAGCGCTTGAAATTCAGGGCTTGTCACTGTATCCGCAATAACAGGAACATGTGGAGACCCCTCACCACGCATGGAGCTCATCCTGCTCACAGCGAGCCTGTGGGTGCAGCCCCCGCAGATCCCATGCATAGGTGGGGACGTGGAAGCCCCAGGAGGCAGGGGGACAGGTCAGTGGGTGGTCCTGCCCAGCCTGCTCTCCTGCCCTCATGTCTGCTGGGTGACTTGGCAGTGTGCAGCATCAGTGCTGGTCCCCCTAGTGGGCCCGGGGCCAGCTGACTCTGCCAGGGAGGGGGTGGGTTTTCAGGCTGAATAGGCTGGGAGCAGGGACAGAGAAGGAGAGATGAGATGGGACTGGGGCTGCGTGGACTGTGCCTGTGTGGGGTTTGTGTCACCTGCTGTGACATGACATTGTGATGTTGGCTGCAGCAGCAGAGGGCAGCTGGGAGGTGCTGTTGTGGCGGCTGCAGCTCCCAGCCTGGGTGTGGCGTGGCCTGAGCAGTCCTGGCACCCTGAGCACCCAGGCCAGTCTCAGCCAGTTGTCCAGAACCTGCAGGAAGTGCTGGCTCCACCAAGAAGGGGAGGGGGGGCCTGGCCACCCCTGATCATGGGGATAGAAGAGGCAGCTGCGGGGGTGGGAACCCGTGCATGGCAGGGGTAGAACCAGCCACCTAGAAACTGAACACCAGACAGGCACCAAGTGATGCAGATTTCCCTGTATGTTGGTGGCACCTGTGCTGCTGGCTGCCTTGGGGCTGAGTTATGATGAACACCACTAGCTCCCAGCAGGACGTGGGACATGCAGGGCTGAGCTGGATGTGTGAACTGGGCTTTCCTCGTGGGATCTGAATCCTTTCCTGTCCCTGCTATGGGAAGGGCTGGGGTGCCTGTGGATCGCTGGGCAAGAGCAGGGGGGCGGCAGGTTTGCGGGTCACAGTAACAGCTGCTGAGGGCTGGACGCTCATGTTCCCCCAAAACTCAGGTGGAAATCCTCACCCCCAAAGCAGTGGCATTAGGAGGTGGGGCCTTTGGGAGGTGATTAGGCCTGAAGGACAGAGCCCTCATGCTGGGATGAGTGCCCTTAGGAAGGAGAGATCCCTTGCTCCTTCCACGTGTGAGGACACAGTGAGAAGACGCTCATGGGCAAGCCGCAGGTGGGCCCTCGCCAGAGCCCGGCCACGCGGGCACCTGGTCTGGGACTTCCAGCCTGCAGGACTGTGAGAAATAGGTTTCTGCTGCTGAGAAGCCGCCCGCCTGTGGGATTTTGCTATAGCAGCCAGAATGGACTAAGACAGTAGGGGAATGGGAGATTCCCGCTGGAGCTGAGAGCCTGACCTGGGAACGTGACAGGCCAGCGAGGCTGTAGACGTGGCCACGCATCACTGCTCGCAGGGCTCCCGAACTTAGAGCACGGTGAACCAGACAGTGATGAAGCAAAGCCACCGCCACGCAACTCCGAGGTTCAGCCAGCAGGCACCGAACATGCCAGCAGCTCGGTGGCACCCGGCATGCTCGGTGGCATGTCCCTTCAGCGGACGGGGCACCAACCCAGCATGTGTGCAGTGAGAGCGTGTGGTGTGAGCACACCCGGCGGGAGCTCTTCTGGTGCTGTTGTGTGGCGGCGGCAGCTGAGCACAACGCAGATGACTTTGCCCCCTGCGCACTTGGTGTCCCCATATCTGTGTCCGGTGGGCAGCTGTGATGGGACATCTGGAGTTGCTGTTGCCTGTCACAGGAGCAAGCATTGGTGGGCAGACCCTAGCCCAGAGGAGGCCCCGGGGGCAAGCTACCAGTCTGGGGGCCAGAAGGTGGGGAGGGTGAAGGGCCAACCCTCTTCTGGTTCCTATCATGCATGGATTTCCAGTGCCCACCTCATTCCTGGCGGACACCGTACTATCAGGGGTTCACTGGGCTTTGGGAATGCCTATATGGCTGATTGCAGGGTGGCCTCGGGCAGCCGGTGATGGGGTCAGGTCGGAAACAGGCGAAAGAGAAGCTGCTTTAGAGACGCTGCCACTAGAAAGAAGGAAAGGCAGAGACTGTCAGTCTGGGGCTGCCAGGAGGGAGTGGTGGCCAGGGTGGGTGACACGCTGCTGTCATGTCCCTGCATAGGTCCACCGATCAGGGAGAAGGAAGGGAGGAGAGCTGTGCTCCTGGGGGCTTTCGCGAGAGCTCCCCTGGCTTGCCTCCTCCCCAGGGCTGGGCAGGGGGAGCTTCTACAGAGGTCATTTTCTCCTGAAACCCAGGGCCCAGAGTGGCATCAGCTTGTGAGGGCAGCAGGAAGGGCCCTGAGGGCTGATGGTGCAGGCCCTGGACAGCCTGGAGAGCTCTCCCACCAGGAGGTTACTAACCTCCGCCAACACCTAGGCGACCTCATTTAATCCTTACAGGAACCCTGAGGGGCAAACTGAGGTACAGAGAGGCTCAGCGACTTGCCTGAGGTCACACAGCTAGCAGAATTTTGTGGAAAGCCAGGACTCCACCGTGCCCTCGACGTCTACTTGCCACTTTGTCTTCAGAATTAGATCAATTTGCTACAACTCTGTTTGCCTAGACCTGGGTGGACCCGAGCCGACTTCACGGAGTGATCTAGTTAGTGAATAAAAAAATGGCCTCCAAAGGCTTCTCGCTGTTTTATGGCGGCCACTTTTCCTGATATGCATTGGTCCAGCTCGACTGAATGTCTTTTCTTCTGAATGTGCCCTTAACCCTGGCTCACGTATTTTGCTGGAATTTTCAGCCCCTGCTCCTGCCTGTGTTGCCAAATGGCTGCGGCCAACTGCCCAGACAAGGTTTAAAGTTTCTGTCTGAAGTCTTGGAAAATGTATCGTTTAGAGAATTGATTTTCAGCAAACTGACCAATCAAGGTCATTTTGTGAACTGACTTTCAGAGAATTGATTTCCCATATCCTGATCCAATGACTAAACTTTTAAAAATGAGTCTGCAAGCCCCAATTCAGAAGCACGGGATTTTGCATGTTAAGAAACAGTTATGGGTACACAACATCCTGAGTGTATTAAATGCCACTAAATTGCACACTTTTAAATTGCTAACTTTACGTTATCCTAATTTCATTGAAATTAAAAAAGAAACAACCAACAAAATTCATACCCAGAACATGAATTCATTCCAGATGGAGTAAAGTTTATGGAGGAATCTAATAAAGACTTAATCTACCAAAGAGATAAGAAAAAGGACCACAGCCATTAAAGTAAATACATTACAAAAACTGAATGGCAGATTCAAGACAAGAACAGATAGTTATGAAAATGGCACATCCTGGAAATGAAAAATACAGTCACCGAGACAAAAGGCTCAGAAGATGGGATAGGATGAAGTACACAGTTGAAAAGAGAATTAGTGAAATAGAAGAGAGAAATACGGAATTTGACCAGAATGCAAAACAGAGAGACAGAGATGACAATTTCTTTCTTTTTTTTTTTTAAACAAAGTCTCGCCCTGTTGCCCAGGCTGGAGTGCAGTGGCACCATTTCCGCTCACTGCAACCTCCACCTCCCAGGTTTAAGCAATTCTTGTGCCTCAGTCTCCTGAGTATCTGGGACTACTACAGGTGCGTGCCACCATGCCCAGCTGATTTTCATATTTTCAGTAGAGATGGGGTTTCGCCATGTTGGTCAGATGGTCTCGAACTCTTGGCCTCAAGTGATCCGCCAACCTTGGCCTCCCAAAGTGCTGGGATTACAGGTGTGAGCCACCATCCCCGGCCTGAGATTTAACACCTGTGCATGCATGTGCACACACAGAGACGTGCACACACGGCAACCGAAAGCCCTGGCAGGGCCGGACGTGGTGGCTCACGCCTGTAATCCCAGGACTTCGGGAGGCTCAAGCAGTTGCCAGTCCTTGGGATTTTCTGCTGTGTGCGTGGGGACACCCCTTGAGAGGCTCCTGGTGATGGGGCAGTGACCCTGCTGGTAGGGCAGTGAGAGGCCGTGGCTATGAAGCCCCCCGGCACGGGGGCTCCTGGTTCTGCCCTTCCAAGGGTGTGGTCTGGATACTGCTGGAACCCATTTCCCGCCTGAGAAATAGGGCAGGGGCGTCCATCTTGCAGAGTCACTGTGGAAGGTGGAGTCACCCCGCTGTGCCCCTGAGGGCATCTGCAGTAACTTCAGAGCCACAGCAGGCACCCTGCCCCTCCTGGCCCTGGCCCCACCCCTTTACCTGCCTTCTCCTAACTGTTCCTCTTCTGGAAGTGCCTGGAGCCCAGGAGAGGCCTGTGCTAGGGGCTCCTCCCTGTCTGGGCTGCCATCTGCGCACTCGCTGGCCCCCCTTCAGTGCAGACAACACACTGTGTCCGGCAGCAGGGCCTTGTCCTCATCCTCGCCTGTCTGCCAGTGGCTTTGCTGTCCCTGGTCTGGGCCTGACTCTGACACGCAGCCCATTCTTGCCTTTTGTGAGGGGCAGCTCCGGCCCCTGCGTCTTTGTAAGATGAAGACTCCAGAAATAAATAAATTTACTTATTTATTTATTTATTTTGAGACAGAGTCTCTCTCTGTCACCCAGGCTGGAGTGCAATGGTGCAGTCTTGGCTCACTACAGCCTCCACCTCCTGGATTCAAGCGATTCTCCTGCCTTAGCCTCCTAAGTAGCTGGGATTACAGGCACCCACCACCACGCCCGGCTAATTTTTATATTTTTAGTAGAGATGGGGTTTCACCATGTTGGTCAGGCTGGTCTCGAACTCCTGACCTTGGATCCACCTGCCTTGGCCTCCCAAAGTGCTGGGATTACAGACGTGAGCCACCGTGCCTGGCCAGACTCCAGAAATTAGGCCTGCAGGAGATTCTGGGCTGTGTTGAGGCCTGGGCTGCTGGGCCTGAGCTAGGAACCACGCCACCACCCAGTGGCCTCGCTCTGGCCCCGGCAGGGACCCACGAGCAGGCCCTGCTGCCCCCACCATGCTCCCCTGGAAGTCAGACCCACCTCCCCTACCCAGCAAGGGCTGTGGCCAGGCATGAAGCCTGGCTCCCCTGGTCCCCGTGGAGACCACGGGGACCTGGGTGGACTCCTGGGCCTCAGGGGTCCCCATCCAAACAGTGGGAGGGTTGGGCTGGAGCTCACCCAGAATGTTTGGCAGTGCCTGCAGCGGGGGAGGGTCTTTATGTCATCGCTCCTGAGGGTCCTTTGGAGCCTGTTCCTGCTGGTGCGTCGGCAGCTCGGAGCCACACGCCTCTCCCGAGGGTACCCTGGCTGCCCATCTGCCCATGTCCCTCCCTCCCTCGGTCACCCTAACAGTTGCACCCGCAGCACAAGGTCCCCTGAAAACGCACAGCGAGGCCGGAGCTGCTGCAGGCAGGGCACGGCCCTGCGGGTGTTTCATCTCGTTGTGAGAGCTTTCCAGTTGGCACAGGTAGTGTCTGCTTTCACCCATCCTTCCAGAAACAAGGGGCCTTAGGCCACGGGAAGAGCGCGTCCTGCACTTCCATGCCTGTGTGGGAGTGGCCTGTCCACTGGAGACAGCCTGTGCCCCGCTAGCAAGACCACGCTCATTTTGTGAGAGCTCCCGCCATCCTGTGGCTCTTGGGCCTGGAACTCGCATTCCTGCTCCATTCTGAGGGCCAAGTGATGTGGCTAGATGCAGAGAGATGGGGGCCTGCGGCGGCCGACACCCAAAGCATCCTTGATGGCTTTTTTTTTTTTGAGACAGGCATGGCAAGGTCTCACTCCCGCCCCCTGGATCTGCCTGTGAACACAGGGTGCCCCTGGGGGTGTCCAGAGTGAGAACAAATTCCGTTTGGGATAGAGTCTTACTCTGTTGCCCAGGCTGACCTTCAGTGGTGCGATCATGGCTCACTGCAACCTTGAACTCCAGGGTTCAAGTGATCCTCCCACCTCAGCCTCCTGAGGAGCTGGGACCACAGCGACACACCACCACGCCTGCCTAATTTTTTTTTTTTTTTCAGAGACGGGAACTTGCTGTGTTGCCCAGGCTGGACTCAAACTCCTGGCCTTAAGTGATCCCACTCAGCCTTCCAAAGCTGGGTAGCTTTTGATTGCAGATTCTAGCTAGGTTGCAGGACGTGAGGAAGTGGGGGTGCAGAAATCACAGCAACACCCTCCCCCAAGGGTGCTTTCCGTGGCCGTGTACACAGCCCGCCTGGCCGGCTCTGAGAGCAGGGACCCTTCTCTGGATGCTCCAGGCCATCGCTGTGCAGGAACCCGGTGTGTCGTAAGTGAAGGACAGTCGTCTTTACCTTGGGGGAGACAGTTGTGGGTGCCTCCCTGCAGGCTGTGGCATCTGTAATTCCCCAAATGTAGGTGCTACGTTGAACAGCCCCTTAGACTTCACCGCAGCACCGTGTGGCCACCGTGCACAGCCTTCCCAGGCCAGCTGCAGAATTCCATGGAAAAGGTTTTGTGAATGATTACAACTCAACGGTCTAGGCCCTCAACCTTCTCTTTTTAGAACAGTGCCCCCCATTGTGGAAATCCTCGGTTCAGCCACTGGGAACTCCCCAGTTTTGAGGGCAGGTGTTGGCAGTTTCATTTGGTCCAACACCAATTCCACGTTCCTGTGCCCCCTTCAACAGTCTGCGCAGCCTCCCAGTGGCGCAGCCTCCCCGTGACTCAGCCTCCTGGTGACACGGCCTTGCTAGCCGCCATCCTGTACCGGGCCCAGGTGACACCGTGGGACGTCTGTTATTTAGGTGCCCCTGGCCCCTGCCACGGGGTTTCCCACTTTGGGGGCCTTGCATCTGTGTGGCTTCTTCCTTGCTCTCAGTGGTCACCTGGTTGTCGGTGGCCCGCGTCCATCAGCCCATCATCATTCCGACTTGCTGTTTTGATCGTCGGCCGGAAAGCCAGACAGCTGGCCTTGCTGGACCATGTCTGCAATGGGAATTTTGAGGCCGAGAGGGAGGGCTTCAGGGGCCCCTGGGAGTGCAACACGTAAATGGGGGCTTGCACACGGGGTCGGGTGGGGGGCTCTTGCTCCGATGTTCCGGGATCTTTTTTGCCCCTTGTAGACCCACAGGTGTGTGTGCAGGAGCCCTGAGGAGGCCAGAGGAGGCCAGAGAAGGGTGAGCAGAGGTCCGAGGGCACTGCGGTGAGGCCAGGCTGCAGATGGAGCTGGGGCTCGAGCTCAGGAGCTGGTCTTCCCTGCTGGGGCCGCGACGCCTGCCGCTTTCCTGCCGGCTCTCTGGGTCAAGGCCTGGAAAGGCTTTCTTCTCGGGCTTCTCATCAGCTTATTGGCCCATTTAGGTAATGGCACTTCCTGTCCATTAACCTCAGCCACACTGAGATCAGCTCTCCACACTCACTTGGCAGGAGGCTTGCAGGAGCTTTCCTATTTGGAGAGTAAAAAGAGCATGGCCTCTGCAGCAGCCAGGAAGTGGAAAGCCCTGGCTTCCTGGTTCCAGAGAACAAACAGGGGATGCGGCTCCCAGATGCAGCCAAAAGTGCTCTGGGGACGGGGACAGTCGGCCGGGTCCTGTCGCAAGCGGCTGCCCTGTTGCACTGATGTCCTGGCCCCTGAGAACACATCAGTAGGGCCTGGCCGGACCCTGGGCCGATGCCACTCTTAGGGGTGAGATGGGGAGCCTGGCCCAGGCTGAGACCCCCACCCTCCACCCAAAACGTGTCCGGGCCTCCAGGCCGTGCAGAGCACACTGGAGGCTCAAGACGGCACCTCTTCTGTGGGACTGGGCCACAGCCTGTCTGATGCCTCACTTCTCTGACTCTTGGAGGCATGGTGCTGGCCTGTCTGTGAGCCCCAGACCCCCTCGTAGAGCTCGCTCCAGGGCCAGGCCCAGCCCCCTTACCGCCTCTCAGCCAGGCTCAGCTAGTGGCCGGCTCTGCCATGGGGAAGGCCCGGTGTCTCTCTCTCTCTGCCTCTCCCAGGCTGCTGCAGCATGGCCCCAAGCCTGGGCGCCAGTAACAGCCTCGTCCCTCCAGCCTGTACAATGGCTCAGCGCTACCTGGGGACTCCCTCCAGCCAGGCCAGACATGCTGGGCAGTCAGGGTCCCTGGGAGCCCCTTGACAGCGACTGACGGCAGGTGGGGGATAAGTAGCCAAGTGTCTCCTGCCGGCGGGGGCAACTCTGCAGGTGTCTCTGCAGCCTCCCCAGTACCCCATGGGTGCCTGCCCCCTGAGTCCCCCAGGGGGCACCTGCCCCTTTGTCCTGACCCCTGCTCCTTCCCTCTCTTCTCCTGGGGTGGCCAGGGGTCACATGCCATGTAACCCTGAATCCTGTCCCAGCCTCTGCCCCTGAGGAACCCGCCCAGCAAGCCATCCACCCTCACTAAAGTCCAGGCCGTCTTCCATGGTCCCCTCACCACCTTGTTCTTTCTGGCCCCAGAGGCCATCACCATCCAGGGCACAAGGGGGCCTGCCCCTTGGCCAGGTGGCTGCCTGTCCTCTGACCCTGGGTTGTCGACAGGGGGAGGGGAGAGCTGGAAACCGGGGTCAGGAGGATGCCAGCAGGTCCGTCACTCCCTGCCTGGATCCGGCCAAGTGCGGGGGACCTTGGCCAGCATCCTAGAGAGCTGGCGCACCTCCTGGGCCTGACGCGGGCTTCCTGGATTGCATAAAGGCTCCTTCTCCTTACATAGCCAGGGCAAAGGTGCATGACAACTCTGAGCAAGTCAAAACAACCGTCAGCAGCGGGAAACCTCGATGAACAAACACCGGGAGAGTGGTGAGTAGCTGCCAGGAAAGCCCCAGCCTCCGGCAGGAAAGGGACTCTGGGCGGGGCGGCCCCAGAGAGAAAGTGGTTAGATGTACGGACAGAGGGATGACAGGGCTGGCCAGGCAGTGCTGCCTGCAGGCTGTGCAGTTGGCCTGGGGGTCTGGAGCCTCCGGGACCCACAGATGCGCCCGCACCCTCATCCCTGGCTTCTTTCGGCCCCACAGCGGGGCAGCAGCACTGCTGTCCTAGCCACGCCAGGCGCCAGTGTGGCCTGGTAAAGGCCTCGTGCATTCTGTCCTGCTGGTGGGGGAGGCTGGCCTCTCATGCGCTTGTCCTTAGAGGGCAGCATGAAGATGCCGCGCCCCACCGGGGAGACGAGGGGAGTGGACCCCTCATGAGATCCAGGCCGCATGAGGCAGGGGCTGCCATGACAGGATACTGCATGCGGGGGGCCTCATGCAGCAGAAGTGGACTCTCTGAGTCCTGGGGCCAGACTTCAAAATCAAGGTGTCGGCAGGGCCACCTCCTGCTGAAGGCTCCAGGAGAAAACCCTTCCTGCCGCTCCTAGCTTCCGGTGGCCCAGGCAGTCCTTGGCTTGTGTCCGCATCGCTCCAGTTCTCTGCCTCCGTCTCACGTGACTGTGTCTCTGCACCTTTCCCCCTTCTCAGAACGTGTCCTTGGATCTCAAGTCCACCCTCATCCAGGAGGCTTTCATCTCAAAATCCTTAACTTAATCCCATCTATCTGCAAAGACCCCTTTTCTAAATCAGGTCCCATTCTCCAGTTCCTCGGGTTAGGACCTGGACAAATCTTTTGGGGGTGTCGTTCATCATCCAACTGCACTTGGCATGGGAAGGCCCCCCTCCTGCCCCCTGGATCTGCCTGTGAGCACAGGGGTCCCCTGGGGGTGTCCAGAGTGAGAACAAATTCCGTCTGGGACAGAGCTGGCAGAGGCCCCGGACGCTGGCCTCCCGAGCGGGGTTGTGATGTTGGACCCTGTTCTCAACACCAGGCCCACGCCACCAATTCGTGCTTCTGTCTGGGCCAGGCTTCCCCGTCCCCCTGTCCCAGTCTCAGGAGGGTGTCTGCAGGTTTGTCTCCCTGGGGGACGGAGCCACGTTTGGGTTCCACTTCATTCTCCAACTGCTCTGGTGCTGGACAGAAGCTGAGCCTGCCCGCCTCCATATGTGGGGTTGGAGAGCCTGGGGTACCCTGGCCTCAGAGGCAGTGATGATGGGGGAGGGAGAGAGATGGGAGAGGGGCCTGGGATGCCATTGGAATCTCTCAGGGCTTCATCTGAGCTGTCTCTGCCCCCTTCTAGCATTCCCAGGGGAGTTCCAGGAGGCCCATGGCCCCTCCTGTACAGCCCTCCACCGCCCAGAGCCTTCCAGCGCCGTGTCTTCCCCTTGGAGCATCTGGAGGCCCCAGACAGCACCCGCCTGACGTTCAGCAGAGGGGGAGACCGAGGCCTGCAGCAGAGTGTTTTGTCAGATGCTGCTCCCTGACCGGGAGTGAGAGGGAACCCACCTAGAGGTGCCAGATGGGGTGCCAGGGCAGCGTGGCCTGCAGGCCCCTCAGCTCCTCACAGCCCCTGCCCCCAGCCTTCCTGGGCCCAGAGATCCCCTTGTTTACCCTAGTCCAGGGACAGAGGCTCAGATGTCATGCTTGACCCCACAGGTACAGGGTTAGGGGTGAAGGTGGCTGTCTCTTCATGTCTTCACCATGGCTTCTCTGCCTTCCTCCTGCTCCTGGTGGCTTATGTCCTGCCGCTCTTGATACGCGACTGTGGTCTGTCCTGGGATGGTTATGATGCATATGTGCTATTGTTGTGAACTGTAACATTGAGGTCTGGCCTTACGGTTGGTTTTGATTGTCCCTTCTGCTCCCTTTTCTTATTTTAATATTTTACCATTTTCCATTTTAATGTATCTGTTGTCTTTTTTGGCTAAATCTCTTTTCAGTTTTATTTTACTGTATATCTTTTCTAAGTGATTGCTTAGAGATTACAATATACTAAACCTAGCCTTTCACAGTTTCTGCAGATCCTGCTTTGTGACTTCGAGTGAAGTGTGGAAGCGCTGGAAGCACTTAGACCCTGCCTGTGAGTTGTCATGTATCATGTCTGCAAACATTAAAAATCTCACCAGATGATGGGGTGTGTGTGTGTGTGTGTGTGTGTCTGTGTGTGTGTGTGTATGTGTCTGTGTGTGTATTTTTTTTTAGACAGAGTCTTGCTCTGTCACCCAGGCTGGAGTGCAATGGCACACTCTCGGCTCACTGCAACCTCTGCCTCCCGGGTTCAAGCGATTCTCCTGCCTCAGCCTCCTGAGTAGCTGGGATTACAGGCACGCGTCACGACGCCCAGCTAATTTTTGTAATTTTAGTAGAGAGGGGGTCTCACCATGTTGGCCAGGCTGGTCTCGAACTCCTGAGCTCAAGTGATCTGCCCGCCTCAGCCTCCCAAAGTGCTGGGATTACAGGCATGAGCCACCACACCTGGCCAAGATGATGGTATATTTTTTGCTTTCAATAGTCATACATATTTTAAAGGACTTAAAAGAAAAAATAGTTTAAAAACTATTTACCCAGGTATCCGCTATTTCTGTTTCTCTTTCTTCATTCTAGAAGTGCTGTGTTTCCCCCTGGGGTCTTTTCCCTTGCTGGTGACAATTCTCTTCTAGTTCCTTTACTTGAGAATGTCTTTATTTTGCTTCTATTCCTGAAGGCTGTCTCCACTGGATGTAGGATTCTGTGGTGACTTCTTCTCCTTTCATTCTTCGTGCAGCACACCAGCATGGCGCATGTGTACATACGTAGCAAACCTGCATGTTCTGCACAAGTACCCTAGAACTTAAAGTATAATTTAAAAAAAAAAAGAAAAAAAAAGGTATTGTTCCATCGTCTTCTGGCCTCCCTGTTTTGTTTAAGCAGTTTTTTTTGTTTGTTTGTTTTAAAAATTTCTATGCTAGTGGGGTGCAGTGGCTTATGCCTGTAATCCCAGAACTTTGGGAGGCTGAGGCGGGTGGATCACTTGAGGTCAGGAGTTTGAGACCAGCCTGGCCGACATGGTGAGAACCCATCTCTACTAAAAATACAACAATTAGCCAGGTGTGGTGGCTCACACCTATAATCCCAGCTATTCCGAAGGCTGAGCCAGGAGAATCGCTTGAACCTGGGATGCAGAGGTTGCGGTGAGCTGAGATGACGCCACTACACTCCAGCCTAGGCGACAGAGCAAGACCCTATCTCAAAAAACAAAACAAAATAAAAGTTCTCTGCTTATTTTGCACCTAATTTCTGTTTAGTTAGTAGAGTTTTAAGAAGTAGATTTAGGTTTGCAGAAAAACTGAGCAGGAAGTACAGAGAATTCCCGCACCCGCCTCCCCCACACTGTCCACAGCTTCCTTCCCTGTTATGAGCACAGCCATGCCATGGGACATGGGTCACAGCTGATGAGCCAGTATCCATACATTGTTACTACCTACGTCCATCTTTTACAACAGGGATCACTCTGTGTGTTGTACATTCTGGGCTTGGGGCAAATATATAATGACATGTATAATGACATCATTATAACATCATACGGAATAGTTTCACTGCCCTAAAAATCCTCCACACTCTGCCAATTCATCCCTCCCTCCTCCCAACCCCTGGCAGCCACTGACCTTTTTCCCGTCTCCATGGTTTTGCCTGTTCCCGAGAGTTGTATAGCTGGAGTTGTATAGTTGTGTGGCCTTTCCCAGGCTGGCTGTTTTCACTTAGCTGCATGCGTTCAAGCCTCCACAGTGTATTTGCTGGCCTCTGTGGTTTTGATGAGAAATCCTGGGTCATTTGAATTCCTGCTCCCTCTGTGTGTGTAAGCTATCATTTTTCTCTGGCTACATTCAAGATTTTTCTCTTTGTTTTTATGTTTTAGCAGTTTTTAATGTGTGTAGGCATGGTTTTATTTGAGTCTAGTCTGTTTGGGATTTGCTGAGCTCATTAAAACTGTAAATTGATATGTTCCCCCAAATTTGGGAAGTTTTCTGCTTTTATTTCTTCAAATATTTTTCTGCACCATTTTCTTCTCTCCTCTGGGCCTCTAAGGACGTGAATGTTAGACCTTTTGATATCATTCCACAGGTCCCTGGACTCTGCTCATTTTTTTCAGTCTTCTTTTTCTTTTCTTTTTTTTTTTTTTGAGATGGAGTCTTGCTTTGCCACCTAGGCTGGAGTGCAATGGCGTGATCTCAGCTCACTGCAACCTTCGCCTCCCAGGTTCAAGTGATTCTCCCACCTCAGCCTCCCGAGTAGCTGGGATTAAGGCACCCGCCATCATGCCCAGCTAATTTTTGTATTTTTAGTAGAGACAGGGTTTCACCATGTTGGCCAGGCTGGTCTCGAACTCATGACCTCCGGTGATCCACCCACCTCGGCCTCCCAAAGTGCTGGGATTACAGGCATGAGCCACCGTGCCCGGCCTTCAGTCTTACTTTTCTTTCTATTGTCTAGATTGGAAATTTTCTACTGATCCATGTATAAGTTCACAGATTCTTTCCTCTGTCACTGACATTCTGCTATTAGGTCTGTCCATTAAAAAAAAACAATTTCTCAGGTATCATATCTTTGAGTTCTGAAATTTCTATTTAGTTCTTTTTTGTAGTTTCCATTTACCTACTGAGAATTTCTGTCCTTCCATCTGCTTCACTCGTGGTTTCTTTTACCATGTGGAGCACAGTTGTGACAGGTGCTGTCCAGTCTTGACCTAATTCCAGCACCTAGAGCATCTGTTGACTCTCTCTCTCTTGAGAATTTTGTGGCTCTTTGTATGTCAAGTAATTTTTTTTTTTTTCCGAGACGGAGTCTTGCTCTGTCGCCCAGGCTGGAGGGCAGTGGCAGGATCTCAGCTCACTGCAACCTCCGCCTCCCAGGTTCAAGCGATTCTCCTGCCTCAACCTCCCGAGTAGCTGGGATTACAGGCACTCGCCACCACACCTGGCTAATTTTTGTATTTTTAGTAGAGACAGGGTTTCACCATGTTGGCCAGGCTGGTCTTGAACTCCTGACCTCATCATCTGCCTGCCTTGGCCTCCCAAAGTGCTGGGATTACAGGCGTGAGCCACCACGCTCGGCCCGTCAAGTAATTTTGAATTGTATTGTGGACATCTTGAATACTATGTAGTGTAGATTCTTGTTAAAATCTGCTGGAAAATGTTGATTTCTGTTCATTGTTTTGGCGGCAGTCAATTCAGTCAGAGCCAGATCTCAAGTTTTGTCTTCTCTCCTGGGGGCTGTGGTCTCCATCTCATTGTGCTCTCAAGGCTTTTCCTGGGTGGCTGTGGGTGCGTCCCGAAGCCAGTGTTGTCTCTGTAGGGTGCTCTCTGCCCCTCCCCAAGTACCATGAAGTGAGAGAGCAGCGAGCGGGCCAGGCGCCACTCCTGGAGGACAGCCACGATGCTCACCTGGACCTGGGCCCCACACACCTCTCATGGTACAAAGCTGGGGGCCTGCAGGCTTTCTGCTGCCCGCCTCTCCCTGGGGGTTCCAGCCCATACCCCAGGATGGTTGTAGGGTATGGCCGAGTCCATCATTTGCTCCTGGTATTGGGGGGAAGTGCCATGGTGGCCTCTGGCAGCCATCCTTGTGGCCTGCCTGCCCTTGCCACCCTTGATGTGTATATGTTTCAATATAGTTGCATAGTGGTTAAATATTCACTTAGCCACCTTCTGCTCCTGCCTTGACTTCCCACACAGGAAGATGGCCTGTACCCCAGGAAGATGGCCTGTACTAGTCAGGGTTCTCCAGCGAAGCAGAGCCTATAGGAGATGCAGACACAGAGATGGATATAGATACCTAAGAGAAGAGGCATTATTACAGGAATTGGCGCATGCAGTTACAGAGGCTGAGAAATTCCATGAGCTGCCATCTGCAAGTGGGAGAACCAAGAAAGCCTGGGGTGTAATTCCATCCATGGCGCAGGCCTGAGAGCTGAGGCCAGTACCTGAGCTCAGCAGGAGATGGTGTCTCAGCTCTGAGAGCCAGCTCTCCCTTCCTCTGCCTGGGGTGTAATTCCATCCACGGCAGCAGGCCTGAGAGCTGAGCGCTGCTGTCTGATCCCAGGAGGAGATGAAGTCTCAGCTCTCAGAGCCAGCTCTCCCTTCCTCTGCCTTTTTTGTTCTAGTCAGGCCCTCACTGGGTTAAATGATTCCACCCACACCGGGAGGGGCGTCTGGCTTCCTGAGGCCAGTTCAAACGCTGATCTCACCCGGAAGCACCCTCACAGATCCCCCAGAAGTAATATCTCCCCAGCTGTCATGCATCCCAGCCCCAGCCAGGAGGAGACAGAGCTAACCATCACAGTGGACCATGACGAAGTGGCTCTGCTGCTGCTTCACAGGTGCCGCAGACCCCTGGGAGGCACCAACACCCCGGATCGAGAAGCCCGATGGGAAAGAATGTCTGGGAAGGACGTCATGCCCGAGGCTTGCGTGACAGTTTCCACTCACAGTGCGCTCACTCTGAACCTCTGTGCACACGATGGGCCTGCATCTCTTCCCACTATCTGCTAGGAAACACGAGGGTGAGTGATGAGTTTTTAGGGTGGAGCTGGTCGGCAGTGGGGCCCCGACTCCCAGTCCAGGGCTGCTTCTGTTGCACCAGTGTCCCCCAGTGACCCCTGCACTTGTTTGGGTGCTGGACCCCTTTGAGAATCTGATGCACGACAGGGACCATTTCCCCTGGAAAACACACGTCCCCACCCTTCTTGTATGCAGAATCATGGGATTTGCCGCAGTTTGCACCCAGGCCTGTGCGGATGCCCCCCGACTGCCCGAGATGCTGCACCTGCCACTGCTGGGGGTGTACCTGCCTATGCCCACTCACAGGGGCACCTCCAGGGTAGCTGCCTGGTGCAGGCATTGGCTCTAAGCAGAGCAGCACTATGGGCCCATCTGGGGCTGGCTCTTGCCTGGGCCTGTGAGCACCATCACAGCCAGCCGATCTGGGAGTATCCAGGGTGTTCTTGTCATTGCGGACACTGAATAGCCATTGGTGGGTGGCGATGGGGGCTTGGAAGCCGAGCATCAGTGGCAATGAGAAGCAGGCCCTGTGGTTTAATTCCGAAGCACATGAACCCACAGAGCCGCCAACAGTCGTTATTCGGCAGGAGGGGGTACAGAGACAGCAGCCTGCGGAGCGTTCTAGGCAGGACAGGGCAGCAAACCTGACATGCGGAGCTGGGGGCAGGGGTAATGGGGCCAGGGGGTAATGGCAGGTGAGGCCATGGCCTAGAGGGTTGCCATGCTTGGTGCAGGGGAGGAGAGGCCCAGGTGTGGCTGCAGTGGCAGCAGGAGTCAGTGTGGCTGTGCCCAGTGGGATGTTGTCAGAGAATGGACCTGGCTGCTGGGAAAGGTGATTGTGTTTGTCTGAGCCACACTGGACTCTTCTCTGACCAGCAAGCACATTCTGGAGATGCGGGGCAGAGACGAGGCCTCCGTGAGAACCTTTGAGGTGTGAGGGCCTTGATCTGGGGTGCAGCCTCCAGCTTTCTGCTTACAGAGCAGGACCTGCAGGAGCTCGCTGACTGCCTGCACAGTGGAAGGAAGACCTGTTTCTTTTACTTTCCTTGAGGAGAAAAAATTAAAGTTCTGAGCAAACGCATGGCAAGGGAGCTCTTGCTTTCCTCTCTTGGAGTTCTAGGCGGCTGGCGCTAGTGGCACGTGGAACTGGTCACGCACACTGGGTCTCGAGGCCGTCTCCTCTTCTGTAAGTTGAAAGGTTGGTGAGAACAGAGGTGTGGTGTGCTCTGACAGTGGCTGGTTGCCTTGTTAGTGCCTGTGCTGCCGGCCTGCCACGCCTCCAGCTCTTTTAGAGGAATGGCCTACCTTTCAAAGAGGAAGTGCCACAGACCAGTCTAGTTCCCTGGAGCCACATTCCCACATGGCGAAGGTGGGAAGCCACTGCGTTATGACTCTGTGCGTTCACCACCATCTCCACCCCGCGTCATCCCTCGTGGCGTACGTCCCTGCCTGGCCTCCCCAGGCACTGGAGCTGGCACTTCTTGTCTAGGTATCTCAGGCCTGGCGAAGCTCCTCGGCTCCGGCCTGAGCGACGACCTGCAAGCACAGACTGGGCGCTGAGCCCCTGCCTGAGCTGAGTCAGGGCCGGAGAGCCGGCCGAGTGGCATGCTCCCGAGAGCACAGCTGGCTGTGCAGTCAGGGCCTTGGTGGACACGCTGTCCACCTGGCATGGACATGGGGACATGAGGGGCAATGCGGGCACATGCAAGAGCATTCCCAGAACAAATGCATGGTCGTCCCCCAACCCCCTCCCTCGGAGTCCAGCTGCTGCCAAATGTCCCTTAAAACCCTGGGTGGGATGCCAGCAAGAGCCCCGGGAAGCTTGATGATGAGACTCCCAGCCTCGCCTCCCGGCAGTCTCCCCCGCCGTGGCAGGCCTGGGCTGGCCCTGGCATCTGTCCAGGCCCCTCGGTGACTCTAACCTTGGCCAGGTTTGGGGACCACAGGGGACTCTGGGGCCCTCTTTGCTTGGTGACTTGGAGTTCTGGCCTGGCACCCCCAAGACAGCAAAGGGCCTGGCCCTTCCGGTGTCATTGCTCTCCTGGGTCCCAAGCTTGCGTGTCCCCGCGGGCCAGGGCAGGGCTGCATGCCACAGAAGTCATCGTTTCATAGAAGGGAAGACTAGGAAGTCAGCTGCACCCAGGTCAAGTGGGTCTGTGCGAGTGGACGTCCCTCCTCTTGCTGTCTGCGTGGGTCACATTGACCAGAGTTTGTTAAGCCCGGGCCAGAGGAGGCTCACTCCCTAGGCTGGGAATGAGTTTGGTGTGGCTTCACACACACCGCACTCACACACACACCCTCTACTCCACACGGTGATAAGTGAGTGGCTGGAGCAAGCCGCAAGGAGCTTTTGAGCGCACACCAGAGCTGCTTCTGCTACCTCCAGGCCTCTGATGGCTGCGGCTGCAGACACAGCCAGCCTCGCAGCATGTAAGAGTGGGCAAGGATGACACACGGGCACAGAGAGACCAGGCTGGGCTTCAGGAAGCAGGTCTGCGTGGGATGGAAGTGCTTAGAAAGTCATTTCTGGAAGGCCGACACCAGTCGGCACTCCCTGAGCGAAAGGACTTGGGAACACGTGGATGCACTTCTTGTATCTCCAAGGAAATGCTCCCTGAGGATTTGCGACGTGGAAATGCAACGGGCTGTGGAGTGCTGCGCACCCCGCACCTCGAGCAGTGGTTTAGCTCAGCTCGGGGTTTGTGGCTTCAGGGGGTCATAGTCCACAGGAGTGCCAGGGGGTTGGGCGGGTGGGACAGAGGAGGCGAGAAGTGGTTGCGGACACTCTGCATGAGCAGGACACGCACACACCACACACACACATACCCCACACACATATACACACCACACACCCCATATACACACAAGTACACACACGAACATACCACACACCCCATATACACACAAGTACACACATGAACACACCACACACACACACAATACGGCTCTGCAAGGAAACGTGTGAGGGGTGTGGTGTGTGTGCACTGTGTGTGAGGTGTGTGGTGTGTGTGAAATGTATGTGTGAGGTATGCAGTATGTGTGTGAGGTAGTGTGCGATGTGTGTGTAGTGTATGTGGTTGTGTGAGGTATGTGGGGTGTGAGGAATGTATTGTGTATGTGTGATATATACTGATTGTGTGTAAGGGATGTGGAGTGTGTGGCATGTGTGTAAGGTAGGTGTGTGTTGTGTATATGTGAGCTGTATAGTGTCGGGGGGGTGTGAGGTATGTGGTGTATGTTATGTTTGAGATCTAGTGTGTGTGTATGGTGTGTGTGGGAGGTATGTGGGGTGTGTGGTGTGTGGTGTGTATGAGGTATGTAGTGTGAGGTGTGTGATGTGTAGTGTGTGGTGTGGGGTATGTGGTGTATGTGTGAAGTATGTGTTGTGTGATGTGTGGGTGATATTTGGTGCCGTGTGTGTGGTATATGGTGTGTGGTATGAGGTGTGTAGTGTGATATGTGTGGTGTGTAATATGTGGTGTGTGTGTGTGTGTGATATATGGTGTGTGTGTGGTGTGTGGTTTGTGGTGTGGTGTGTGTGGATTGTGGCCCCCATCCCCATCTTGCGGAAGGGCTCAGACCCCGGCCCCTGTGCATTTACTCTCTAGCTTCTGGGTGCCAAGCTCAGGCTAAGGGGATTTCTGACGGGCTGGACGTCTGGGCTTCAGCCCTGAAATAAGAGTTTTGAGAAGGAAGAGGGCAGCGCTGGAACCCTCACCCGTCTTTTAATGAAGGGATTTGGCTAAGAAGAAATGCCAAGTACTTCCGCAGGTCATCCTGAGGTCAGGATGTGGTCGGTGTGTCTGTCCCTGAGCAGTCAGACCTGATGGTGGCTGGAGCTCCGGAAAGCTCGGGACCCCTCTAGCGTCCTAGGCCTTCTGTTTTCCTTCCTGCTCCAGGGGGCAGGACTGGCAGATTCAAGGAAGCTTTCAAGAGGGGTTAGAAAGAAGGGGTGTGCTCCAATCTGCCAGCCTGATGTCCTTCATGGGACCACAGGCCAGGAACTGAGGTTCCCTGCGAGGGGTGGATGCTGCGTCTGTGAGCCTCCCCACCTTCTTGAAGGCAAGAGCGCCCAGAGGTGTTCGCTTTTGGTGTCGGCCTTTGAGCTGGAGCCTGGAGCTGTTTCTCTGAATTCCTTCTGCTTGTTTCCTTGTGCTCTTGCCTGGGAAGAATGAAATGAAAAGAAAATGCAAAGCCCAGAACCTGGCAGAGATGGGATGCCCCAGGCCGGAGTGGGCAGGGCGGCGCTCTCAGCCCACTCTCAGCACAAACGCTGCCCCGTTCACCTCTCCGCGCTTGTTGCCAGAGCGTGTCAAAGACCCCGAAGAATGAAATGACTTCGGAAGAGGAGGCCACACACCCGTGAAACAAGCCGGATCTGCAGCGGAACATTCTTTACGTGTTTTGGGACATTTCAAAGACTGATGGCGTGCTGCCTTTGTGATGTGTGATCTGAAGATTCCATCAAAGAAAGTGTGTCCTTTGTGTGAAAGTTGTGATTCTTGGCATCTTCGTGGTTTTGGGTCCTGAAAAAATACCACGAGGGCCCTCCCTTGTGGCCTCTGCAACCATAGGAATGCGGGTTTTGGAAGTGGCATTTCAGGCACGGCCAAGTAGGAAATTAGAAGAGACCCTAGGACTTCGATGTGGGTGGAAGTAACAGCAGGGTGGTCGGGGGGGGGGGTGCCTCGTTGGGGACCCTCCAGCACCCCACTGTGGTTTCTCTTGGGGGTCGCTTGGACAGACTGTTGGAGGGCTTTCGTCCCCAACTTTCTATTGGCAGGTCATTTTTCAAAGACAACCCGCAATGCAGCCCTGTGGTTCTGCCTGTTGAGAACCCAGCATTGAGACCCCAGGGTCGACAGACAGTCTGAGAAGACTGTAATTTGCAGAAGAATCTCAGGGTGATGCTGGCAGGGCAGGGGTCAGAGCTAGCTGGGGACCAGGGTTGGCTGGGCACACCGTCTTGGTGGCTGGTGGTCGCAGCTCATGGAAGTCTGCCAGGGCGCGTAGCCTTGGACCTACAAGGGCAGGGTTCTAGAAGGGTGGTCTCCCAGCTTTTGTGAAAACCCTCCTTTAACAATCAAAAGTTTGAGTGCACACTCCCGATACATGTACACACATTGATTTTTTTTTTTTTTTTTTTTGAGGCGGAGTCTCACTCTGTCACGCAGGCTGGAGTGCAGTGGCGCGATCTTGGCTCACTGCAACCTCTGCCTCCTGGGTTCAAGTGATTCTCCTGCCTCCCTCCTGAGTAGCTGGAGTTACAGGCACACACCACCTTGCCCAGCTAATTGGTGTATTTTTAGTAAAGACGGGGGTTTCACCATGTTGACCAGGCTGGTCTCAAACTCCTGACCTCAGGTGATCCGCCCGCCTCAGCCTCCCAAAGTGCTGGGATTATAGGTGTGAGCCATTACGCCTAGCCTGATACATTGATTTTTTAACACTTGTCAAATGGACTAGCTAATAGTAAAATATTACATAGATTATAGAATATGGGCATTTTAAATACTTTTAAAAGATGAGATTTTGAAAGGACAGTATTAATATTTTCCTCCTGCGCCTCCCTGGGGCCTGTGGTCCTCCCTTTGTTTTTGACCCCTGGGCTAGAGTTAGAAGACAGGAAAGAGTTTGGCCTCACTGTAAGGACAGGCTTGTTTTTGTGATTATTGTTAATTTTTGGCCATATACCTTTAACTTTTTATCATACATTTTTTCTAAACATCAAGAACTTGAGAGGGAGCAGTATCATGGCAGCCCCATCTGACCTATAAGCCTTCTTCCCTCCCCCGATCCACTGCCCCTTACCCCTCCTCTCCCTGGAGTCTTTTAAAGCAATCCCTGACCTTATTTCATCAGAGAAATACCTCAGTGCGTGGCTGTACAGAATAGGGACTCTTCCAAAAAAAATAACTGTGCTACCGTTATCACACCTAAAACACGACCCTTGAATTCTTTGTGATAATCTGCTAGCAGTGTTGAAATTTCCCTGGTTGTCTCCTGTCTTTTCAGAGTTGGTTTGTTTGAGTACGAAGTCCAAGGCTCTCTGTGACTCTGAAGTCCCTCCGGAATGCCCAGAGCTTCCGTCCCCCCCACCCCCCCCCAACACACACACATCACTCATCGTTTATCTGTTGAAGAAACCTGGTCCTTTGTTTGTCCTGTAGAATTTCCGACACTCTGGGTTCTGCTGGCTGTCTCTGTAGTGTCGTCTACCATGTTCCTCTGTCCCCCAAATCCTGTGGCTCTGACGATGATGGTGAGGTGGTGGAGACGCCCTCACAGCTGGGCCACCCTCCCGTCGGGAGACACGTTTTGTCAGTTGCTTCCTCTGGAGTCCTTGTGAGTCAGACTCCTGAGTCAGGACCACCACCGTCAAGGTTGCCACCGCCGCCTCCTGACACGCGCCACCAGGCTCCGCGCTCATGGCCTGGCCTGGCATCTCACCAGGCTTTTCAATGGACTAGAGTGCGGGGCTGCTCTGCCTGTGGCAAGGGTTGTCCTGCTGCTGGGCACAGGCCCAGAGAGGAAGTGGCAGAAGCTGGGCATGGGATGCTGGTCCTTGAAGGAGTGTGTGGGGGCCACTGGGTTGAACGCAGCCCGCTGCAGCCCTGTGACCTTGAGTGAGTCCCTTTGTGGCTGGGTGGGAGGACACCAAGGCACAGACTGAGGACAGGCCCTTTCCCGGGCTCTCGGCTGGCCTGGTTATCACCAACAGGACCTCGCAGGCCCTTCCCCTCCACGGGCCCCAAGCCCCATCTGTAAGAAGGGGCAGCCCAGCTTGTTTCAGTGAATCCAAGAGAAACACTAGTTTTTGTCCTAGAGGAGAGGCCTGGCATGTCCCTTCGCACTAGTGATCTGGGAGGGAGTGGAGCTGACGCCAAGACCCCACGAAACCACCTTCTTTCCCTCTGTACCTGGAAAGGGCTTGGCTCCCACCACCTTTGGTGGGAACAGCCATTCAGAGCATTTTGCAAGGCCTCATTCTTTCCTGGAATCCCGGTGGAGAACCAGCTGGCTGAAGGAATGATCTGGAGAAAAGAGTTGTAGGAATGTGTGTGTCTGCCTAGAAAATGAATTGACTCTGAAAAATGGGCCGTAGGCCAGAAATAGCAGCTCTCCTGCCCTGGTCACTGCTGTTAGGAGGACAGTGTGGCATGTCCTTTCACTCTTCGAGCACCTTTGGCTGCTAGGACTGGTGGGGGCCCCCTCTACAGGAGGTCGTCGTCCCTCTGGGCCCACCGCTGGGCACGGAGCTCCCGTGGGCAGGTGGAGTGGACACGGTGCCTCTTAGGACTTGGGGTCCTGATCAGCTAGCCGGCAATCCCCCGCGGCAAAGTCCACCCCTCACTGAAAGCCAAAAGCACTGCTTGATGGGCAGGCCTGGCTACGGGAGCCGTAGTCATCACACACCCAGTAAATCACGCTCCTGGCACCTCCACACAGAGTGGCGATTTGTCAAAGCAAATGCAAGCAAATACCCACCCACTGCCGGCCTGGCAGGCTCCCCAGGAGTCGGATAGCTGGGGAGAGCCTGGACACACTGGCAGCTCTGGGAGCCCGGGGCACAGACTGCTCAGGGCAGGTCACCCCTACCCCAGGAGGGGGCTGTGTCTGCAGGGGCCCAGAAGGAGACTCAGAGAGGCAGCTGGAAACCCACAAAACTAGACTTGTTCAGAAAATGGCCAAGCCCTTGGCCTAATTATTCTCCTTTTTTCTTTTAAGTTAAAAGACTACTTTTTAGAGCAGTTTTCATTTTACCGATACATCGATCAGAGAGTACGGAGCTTCCCACATTGCCTCCCGCACCCCATAGCAGGCAGAGGCACCAGCCAGGCGCCATCCTTTACAAGCTGTTTCAGCAAAATGTCCCTGGTGAGCTAAGTTCTTTCTGTATAGAAAACATGCGGTCCCCGCAGAGGGGATTGCTGGGGGTTCACACACTGAAGGGGGCGCCCCTTCCTTCCCCGTCCATGGTGGGCGCATGCAGGCCAGGAGCTGCGTCCCTCCCCGAGACGGGGAGGGGGACGCTCGCCCCCTGACCCCACCGTGGAGTAGCCCCCTGGTGGCCATGCAGGGCCCACAGGGGCTCTGTTCAGTCGGCCGCTGGGCAAGGCAGGACCGAAGATCTAGCAGGGTCAGCAGGTCCTGGAGGGCAGACAGGGTCTCAGGCCTGGCTGGTGCACAGCCCTGCCTCCAGAGCAAAGGGAACACCCCGGGAGCAGTGTGAGGCCAAGCCGGAGGTGGAGGTGCCGCAGCCCTGCAGGGCTGAGAATACAAGCATCACTAACCCAGTGTTTTCACAGGCTTCAGCCATCTTTTTTTTTTAGTTTTTTAGTTTTTGTTTTTTTTGCTTTTTTTTTTTTTGAGACAGAGTCTTGCTCTGTTGGCCGGGCTGGAGTTCAGTGGTGTGATCTCGGCTCACTGTAACCTCTGCCTCCGGGGTTCAAGTGATTCTCCTGCCTCACCCTCCCAAGTAGCTGGGATTACAGGCATCCACAACCATGCCAGGCTAATTTTAATATTTTTAGTAGAGACGGGGTTTCACCATGTTGGCCAGGCTGGTCTCGAACTCCTGACCTTGTGATCTGCCCACCTTGACCTCCCAAAGTTCTGGGATTACAGGCGTGAGCCACTGCACCCGGCCTTCAGTCATCTTTAAAATGCTTTTTTTCCTCTTTTGATTCAGGGTCTTAATGATTAAGTCCAGGCACTCCAAGGACGATTAAATATTTAAACAGCAGCTTCCCTTTGAAGGTCAGCCCAGAGTGTGGGGTGTGTGAGACGGCCAGGCGCACAGTGTGGGATGCCGTTGCTGGCGGGGGCGCGGGCCCATGGGGGACGGGACAGGTTCGGACGTGGGGAGGGCAAGGGGGCCCAGGAGGGTTCCCACTCTGCAGATGGCTGGCCTGCCTCTCTCTAAGAGCTGGCTCTACACTTGCTTCCACCCCAGGGAAGGAAATGACCGCAGAAGGGAGTGCACCGTGGGGGCAGGAGGTGCTGCGGCCAATGGGCAGTGCTGGGAGATGAAACCAACAGCGGCGATTGCCCCAGAAAGAACTTGGCGCTGCTAAGGCAATGGCGGCCCGAAAGAGGCCCCTGACGCATGAGGAGCGGCCGCCGTCTCCAGCCCCAGGCCTCCCTCCCCTGTGTTTCCCGCAGCCCCCTCTGGAGTCTCTCCCCCGCCCCGCACGTGTAGGGAGACCCCGGGAAAGTGGGCCGGTTATAATTGCAAAAAATAAACCGTCAGTAGCCACAATATCTTATAAACGTAAAAGTAATCTGAAAACCTACTTCAGTTAGAGAAAGGGCGTTTGAATATTTCCTGTTTAAGACACAGACCCCCTGAGAAGATGTATAAAGGACTTGGGCTGGGTGTGGTGGCTCACACTGCCCACACCATGACCTTGGACCCCCGGCCTCCGGAACTGAGAGGCGCCGAACGCCTGCTGTTCAAGCTGCACCGTGATGGGCACTTGGTTCTGTCTGCCCCAGGAAAATGAGCCCAGCGCTCTCCCCAAACTCCTTTGTCCTGAACTTCTTTCCAGAGCCCTCAGCCCTAATGGGTGGTCCCCTAGGGTCCTCAGCCTTCAGACTCTAAATTCCCGTTGGAAACCCACAGGCAGTAGGGCCACGCCCAGGCACTCAGCCGCTGTGCTGCTCCCACGGGGGGCCCAGCAAACAGCCAGAGGCAGGCCCGGGGAGAGTTCCAGGGGGCTGGGAGACAGGTGGGAAACCTGCCACTGGCGGAGCGGTTGGTGGAGGGGTTGGAGGAGGGGCCGACAGGGAAACACGGTCCACGCCTCTGTCTGGGGGCTGTCACCTCCAGGGCTTTGAGCCTCACCAGCGTTCCGCCGCATGGCTTGGAAGGTGTTGCTTTTCCTCCAGGGAGCTCAGGCCTCCGCAACATGAGGACACTGCGACCCGGAAGCACTCTGTGCCGTCTGAGCTGCCCGCGATCCAGTCCCTAAGAGGGACCATCGGCAGGCGGCTTCCTGGCTCTTGGGGTCCGCACAGGCCTGTGGTAGCCCTGTGAGTGTCGGCTCCTGCATAGAACCCTGCCTGACTTCCCAGGAAGAGGGTGCTGCCTCCTGGGGACTCTCAGCCAGGTGGGGACCACTGACTGGGTGGGGCGGCCACGCTGGCCCCATTGCTCCAGCAGGGATGTGGAACGGTGCCAGCGCTGCCCGGCCGCTTCCTCCAGGAGGCTGGGTGGCTCCCCCACTGCCGTGCTGCTGACCCAGCCCCTCGCTCACCCTCATTCTTCCACAGGGGCGGCCAGGACCGGAGGCCCCGTCTCCAGAGTGGTGGGTGGGAAGAAGGGAGAGGGCCGAGGGTCTGCAGGGTGGGCCTGGGGAGTCGAGCTAGGTGTGCGTGCAGGTGCCTCACCTGCCGGCCCTGCCCTGTCCACAGGAGGAGGCCATGAGAACCGTCAAGAAGTTCATGGACTCAGGAGGACGTCGTGAGCAGTGCTGAGGTCATGGAATGTGGGCTGGGACCTTGTGTTTGGTGACATCCTGTAAGTACTCGGCTCGCTCAAGCTAACTGCCCGGCTGGGATCACCGCTCTAGGAGGACTCAAGAGTTCAGATGAGTGGCCCAGGGGCCCGTCAGTGCTGTGCACCTCTCCCCCCATGGGTGGGGGAGGAGCCTGGGGACTTGGCCAGTCCTGGAGGAGCCCTGAGACCAGGCCCTGTGGTGGGCACCACGGCACGGGGAGGTGCCTGGAGGGCTGGAGCCCACTTGGGGGGCCATGGTCAGTCAGGGCTGCAGAAGCAGAGAAATGCGGGATGCCCATGCTGGCTGGGACTCGCCCACTGCCCTGCACATGGCGAGTGAGGGAGAGAGGCAAGGCACCTTTCCAGGGGTGCATGGGAGGCTGCGGTCAAAGGTCCTGCACACCCGCATGCGTGCTCACATCTGTAGCTGCAGACACTGACCCCCAGAGACCCCCGAGCTCATGTGGGGCTGGTGTAGGCGTGGGGTGGACGCTGGGGCAGTGTGGGCTCCTCCTCCTCCTCCATGCGCGTGACGGGGTGGGGGTGGCCCCTCCCCTTGCCCTGGGAGCTCCGGCCCCCTCCCCACCCTCCCTGTGGCCCCAGTAGACAGAGCCCTGGCCCCTGCCTCGGGCCAGGTTTGGCAGAGGGGGCCCTGGCTGGAAACTGGAGGCAGATGGAGGGGAGCTGGGGTTGCGGGCTGGCCGTGTCCCCTAACCCCTACACAGCCCAGCTCTGCTCCTGCTCCGCCTGGGTGTTCTGCAGGCTGGGGTGGAGGTGCTCCAGGACTGCCCCACAGCCCAGGGCCACACACCCCTGGAGCGATCCCTATCTCTGTCTGCGCCCTGGCCTCCTTCCTGCCAAGACCCTGACTGAGTCAGTAGGCTTGACTTTCATAAACTGGCCAACAAGATTGAGACCACACTTGGAGTGGAAGATGGGGCCGTCTTAAGCCCTTGCCCCCTGCACGGGTCAGCCTGTGGCCAACGTCCTGGGCCGAGCCTCCTCCTCTTGCTCCACGCTCTTCCCACCCTGAGAGGGGCCTGGTCTGGGTGGGTCTCCTGGGACCCCCAGTGTTCGAACATGACCTGAAAAGCAGAAATGGAGGCTGAAGCCTTGGCAAGGAGGCCAGCACTTCCCAATCTCACCTTCCACAGCTGATGTGCAGGGCCGGGGGAGTGTTGGTAATCCTCCCAGGACACACATGTCTGCATTTAAGGGTGTGCCTGACATGAAAGGAAATTTATTCAATGATCTTTGCTAAAGACCGGAAGGGGACTACTCAGGACCAGTGCGGTGGGTGCTGGGACCAGGGCAGTGGGATTTTGCAGTGGTGGAGAGAGATTTAGGCTCCACTCTGAATATGGCTCCAGCGAGTGGGATTTGATAGCCCAGGAGCAGAGTGGGGTCCTCGGATGGAACATCACTAAGAACAAACAGCAGGGGTGGGAGGGTTCTGGCTGAAGGGAGGCGGGGTCATCCGTCATCACCTGGGTGCCAGAGGACGAGCATGCTGCCCTGACGAGGATGATCAGATACGGGGCGGGGCAGTTCTGGCTGAAGTCACTTAGCAGTGTTCTTGCTAAAACCGGATTTTGCAAGGAAGTGTGCAGGTGGCCTAGAAGGCTCAAGGGCCTGATAGAGTTTGGCCAAGCAAAGAATCTCGTCACTGAGAATTAGAATCAAGGGCAGGTGGCTAAATAGTGCCTTGTGGATTCTCTCCGGCTTTTGCGGCCCCTCCCTCCACATCCTGCTCTGGGTAGCCCCTATCCTGCAGCCATGACCCAGATTCCTGAAGAGGGGATGACTATACAGGGGCCTGGATGCTGGGTGCCGGCCTCAGGGGCGGGAGGCACCGGGAGAGGCCTGGCCGGAGAGCCGCCGGGACCCAGGTCAGGTCAGGACCCAGTGTGTAGCGGAGCTTGGGCTCATGAGGTCAGAGCTGGAGCCACTGCACATCGTCTCCCAGGGCCGGGGCTCCCAGAGGACATGCAGTGTCTGCAGTTTTCTGGGGTGCCCCCGTCCTCTGCATGGCACTCTGCGTGTTGGGGGCCTATTGCGAGCTGCTCATCCTGGCTTCTTGGGAGCAGTGTGGCCTAAGCAAGGGAGGCTGCCCAGGACCGGCACCTGTGGGGCGGGGCTGGTCGCAGGGTCTCGGTCCCTGAGGGCTGATTCCTGCTGAATGCTTCAATGGCCAAGGGTGGATCCCTCTCCTTCCAGCCTGAGGCTGTTTCAGGAAGAAACAGTCAGGCCTCGGCAGGTTTCCCTGCCCAAGGGGAGAGTCTGAGGAGGGGCTGACTCGGCAGGTGGAGCAGGGGGCCACTTTCATCGAGTTTGTGTTCAGAACTCACTCCAGGGTCCTTTTCTTTTGGGGCCAGGCAGGCAGCACCATGTGGGACATTATTAGCAAGGAGAGGAGGGGCCCAGGAGAGCTCACAGGGCGTTTTGGGAGCTCCGTAGATAGGCAGGTCCTGAGGACTTTTGGAAAGGATAGAACAAGGTCCCGGGCAGCTTTGTGGTGGTTGAGAGCGAGGGAGGAGGTGGCCTCCCTGAGCGTGGATGGCTGGATGCATGCCCCAGACCCAGGGGCAGAGGCTGAGAAGGGAAGGCGGGAGCCCAGGGACCACACTTGGCAGGGTGGAGGGGGCAGGGGGAGCCACTTGCTGGGGAAACTTCACCGGATGATCTGGGCTGAGGACGCGCGAGTGTGGAAGAAATGGTACCTCCCCCATGCCAGATGCTGCCCACCACCGGCACAGGGTCAGAGTTGGGGTCAGCGGGGCAGCCGTGTGCCCCCAGTGGGAGCTTGGAGGTCACGGAGGAAATGCGAGACCAGATGCAGGCAGGGGAGTCCTCCGGAGCCTGCAGGAGGGGGCCGCTGGCTCAGGGGCACCGGGAGACCCCCACATGGACAGGGTGGAAAGGGCTTTCTTCAAAGCCAGGATCTTGTCTCCATCACAGCGTCCCAGCAACGCATTGGGAGTGCTTGCTGCCAGGAGGCTCCCCGGTCCCGCAGCAGCCCCTCAGCGGCTGCCCTCCAAGGAAGGGGCGCACAGACACTCCAAGGCTCCACAGCGCGTGGGCCAGGGGCCGGATCTACCCCTGGGGCAGTGGGACTGAGCGTGAGCCCAGCGCAGCCCCTCTGACTGCGTCATTGTTAGGGGCCTTCTCGGAGCTAGCAGACCTAGAACCAGGCCTAGGGGGTGGGGGCGTGCCTGGATGTGCACTGGGGGGGTGTCTGAACCCTTAGTTAGGACTGCGGGCCCTCCTTTCCACTTCCTTCAGTTCCTGGGGTCTGGGGCATCCTAGCCATGCGTGGGGCCTCCCTGCTGGGATTGGAGACCCCCTGACAGCTGGGGCTGGTCCCAGCATCTTCGCTCTTCCCCCAGGAGGACTTGGACGCAGGGTCTTCTCTGCTCCCCGTCACACAGAGGGTGGCACACCCGATGGGAACTCTCATTTATCACCAAACCAAAAGATGGAGAAACTGACAGAGAAGGGCTGCAAGCAGCTACGGCAGGGCGGTGTGTGGAAGCAGATGGGATGGGCAGATGGAGGCGGGGGCCAGCATCGCTGCCTTCTTGCCCCTCCCAGAGGACCCCAGGTCCCCAGCTCGGGCGCCCCACCCAGACTGGTAACGCCTGCGTCTGCTGTTTGGCACCGGGAGATGAATCACTTGCTTTTCAAATTAGAATCTTCCTTGCTGTCAGAAATGTTTCTTCTCTACAAGGAAATGGAGGTGAAATTTTTATATGGGAAGGGTAGCTCCCTTGGCGAATTGCAGGGCAGCGGAGGGCGGGTTCGGGGAGCCGAGTGCAGCCCGAGGTGCAGCTTTCAGGCTGGGAGGAAGCAGCTGCTTCCGGCTCCTCGGGACACGAGACGGGGACAGCGTGTGCTCGGCGGGTGGGAGTGACGCTGCCCACCTGCGGGCGTCTCCTGGGGAACGGGGTATGTGGGCTGTGTGGCGGTACGGAGCCCAGCGCTGATAGGAGGCTGCGCTGTCAGGCTGCATTTGACCATTTATGGAACCAGGCCATGAGGAGGCCCTGAATTAGAAAGGCATCCAGACCCAGGCTGCAGCCTCAGGCCGGGCACTGTCCCCTGCATGGCTCCGGCGTCCCAGCTTGGTGTTATCAGAACACAGAGGTTGAGGCTATGGCTCCATCTGGGCTGTTAGCACAGAGAAAAAATGCCCAAATGACTTGGTAAAGGGCGGGCTTCCTGGCCCCATGGCTGCACGGGTGGGCTGGCTTCCTGTGTTTGCTGAGATTTCTTTGAGGCAGCCCCACGGTAGAGTCCACTCTGGGTCCCGGCCCTGCGCTGGGCGCTGTGCTGAGCGCCTCTGTGGCTGCCATCATCTGATTTTCAGCGCACTCACAGGCAGGCGCCAGGCTTCACTTTAAAGATGGGGAAGCTGAGTCTCAGGGAAGTGGGGTCTGTGCCAGGGTCTTAGCAGGACTTCTGGGGTTGCTAGGACCCCCACGGGGCTGGGCTGGGGGTCTTCATGCCAGGCCCAATCCCTTTCCCATAGTTCCCCCCGCCGGCACTACCCAACATGTGGTCTCCGGTCATCTCGTGCTGTCTCCACCCCTCCCTCCGCTTCTCTGCTGGAGTTGTCCCTGTCACCTTACCCCAGAGCCTTCTTTGTTCTTACAGTCCCAGGCGGAGGGTACCTCGGAGCACACTCTGCAGCCTCCGGCTCTCCCTCCTAAGTCCACCTGCCCGGCCGATTGGGCTGTGTGGTCACTGTCCTCAAGACCTTATGTGCCATGAGGGCTCAGAGCCCTGAGCCTCAGCACAGGAAGTGCCACCCAGGCAGCCAACACCTGCTCAGCGGGCGGATGGCCTTGCCGACTCGGCTTTGCTCCCGGGAGCCTCCTGGAGAAGAAGCCACAGGGAGACGGACAGCCCTGGGCGGCTCCAGCTTGCCAGCTCCACATCCAAGGTCCTCCTTCTGGGGTGGGGTTACAATCTGTTCAAAGCATATGCCCAGAATAACATTTTTGAAAGTCTTTAAAAATGGGGTAAAGCTGACGTACCACGAAAGACACAAATCTTATCTCGTGCTCAGGTCTTTGCGTGTCTGCGCCCGTGTAACCGCCGTGCGTGTCAGTGAGTCCCTCCAAGAGCACGCCAGAACCACAGAGAACCCCTGGTCCCCCCCAGGGACTCCCCCGAGTCATGACCCCCAGAGGTGACCTCTCCTGTGATCTCTGACTTCCCAGCCTGTGGGGGTCTTGGGGACTGTGTTCTCCCTGCTGTTAGAGTACACAGGCCCTTTCTTTTCATGGCTGTGCAGGGAGGGAGCGGGAGACACCACGGGTTGTTCCTTCTGCCGAGGGACACTGGTGACTTCAGGTTGTCTTTCTATGGCTTTCGTGCTGGCTCTGGTGGGACCTGCGCTCAGCAGCAGACACTGGCCCTGGGGGTTGTGTGAAGCTTTGCTGCTATTCCCCACAGGGTGGGGGGGGCCAGTTACCCTCCCCCATAGCTGTGGGGACTCCCGGGACCCTTGTCGTCAGCCTTTGCCATCTCAGCTCACCTGGCGGGGGTAGAATAACGTTTTGCAGGAAAGTTACAGACTTCCTGTCAGCTCAACTCTGCAGAAGAGGAGTTTGGTGGGAAGTTTTTCCAGAGTCTTCCCTCGGCCTGGGGCACAATGTCACTGAAATGCTGGAGCAATCAGGGGCCAGCCCTCAAATGGAGTCCTCGCCTCCCCACCGAAAGGCCAGGCCCGTTCAGAGAAGACCCCGTGGACATGTGGGGCGTGCAGGCTAGGCGGGGTGGGGCTGAGTGGCCAGGTGTCAGGCAGGGCCTTTGGGAACAGAAGGTGGGTCCCTAGGGAAGTGGCGGTCACCGTCAGCCTGGCGAGCAGTGGCCCTTGTGGAAAGGGGGCTTCGGACGTGCTCGGGAGATGCAGAACCCCGTCTGTGGGAGAGCTCCTGAGAGTTAGGGGCCAGGCTCAGCTCCCAAGGCTGCCCTGACAGAGGCCACACGCTGGGGAGCTAAGATGCTGAGCCTCTCACAGCTCTAGAGACTGGAATTGGGGATCAGGGCATCCTCAGGCCCCTGCCCACTCTGGAGGCCCGAGGAGAGGGTCCTCCCTGCCTCTTCCAGCTCCTGGTGACCCCGGGCGTCCCTCTGCGTGCAGCTGTGTGGCTCCAGTCTCTGCCTCCATTGAAACGTGGCTGTCCTCCCTGCATCTGTGGGGCTGACTTCCCTCTTCTTACAAGGATGCCGTCATTGGATGAGGGCCCACCATACTCCAGTGTGAGCTCACCCTAACTTGATTACATCAGCAAAGACCCTATTTCCAAATAAGGTCACATTCTGAGGTTCTGAGTTGACATGAGTTTTTAGGGGGGCCTGCTCAGCCCAGGACAGTATGTGGTTTAAGAAAGGGATTTCCCCAGAATGATCTGCCTGCCGTCTGCATCCAGCCGCAGACCCTGGTTCCTGCCGTCTGGTCAGGGCTGGCCCTGGGTGAGCTGGAACCCTCTGTCCCTGCACCCCCAGCACTCCCACCCAAAATGAACTTTGGGGACAGACATCACAGCTTAGGGCACCCGTGGGGTCTTCAGAGGCTGAGCTGGTACCCAGCTCGTTTCCTCCCTCACAGATGCAGCCAGGCAGTGAGCAGCCGACGGGTGCCTCAGTGTCCCATGCAGCACAGCCACGCAGAGCAGGCGAGGGCCAGCCCCCAGGAAGCCGCTTGTGCCTGCCCGCAGTGGGACAAACCTCGGCACTGAGTGTGTCCACAGATGCCAACGCCCCTCAGACGGAGTGAGTTGATGACTGTTAAATGCAACAATATAAATGGCCTTGTATTTTGTATATCTTTCCTTTTTTGTTTTATTTTTCTAGCTGATCTTTTTTACTCTATTTTGCAAAAGTTAGCAGTCTGCAGGGTGCTTCCCCCTGGCTGGCTGGAGAAGCCCCATGTGCCGAGCCTGGTCCGAGGTCCTCTGAGCCCCCACGTCGCCTCGCTAAGTTGCTGTGCCCTGACCCCAGTGTGGGAGGGGCCATCAGAGCACATGTGCCTTCTACTTGGTGAGGGCGGCATTATCTTGGGGATGCAACTGCAATAATCAAGAAACTTAGAAATATTTCGGATGAATTAACTGAGAACGCAGTGCACTCACTGGCATGGCCACCTGCCCTCACCTGGGGCGTGCCTCCGGCCCTGGCACTGCTCTGCCCCACCCAGTTGGTGGAATCATGGAAGCAGAAGAGGGGTGGTCCCTGACTCGTGTTTGTGCTGTGGAGACGCCCGCAAAGGCCAGGACACTTGCATAGAATGCTCCCGGCACTCTCCCGTCTCCAGGGCTGTGTGTAAGAGTCAGTGACAGAACTGTACGCAGCGTGCAAGAGACAACTGCCATCACTGCCACCTTGAAGGGCAGCCTGGGCACATACTGTCGAGGGACAAGGAACTTGCTGACAGCAGAAGGCTTCATGCCACATGCTTCGGTCTGTATACAGTCCAAATCCGGCAAAGTGGCACGCAACACTGTCCAGGGGTTCACTGCACATGGCAAAGCTGTCCTAGAGGGTAAGGATGACAAATGCCTGTGCAGGAGGGAGGTCGCCTCTGGGAACCCTGGGGGAAGCAGGAGGGATGTGTTCCAGCTTTCCTGGGTGCCTGTCTGGCCTCTCTCTGCCCAGAGCCCGCCCCCACAGCAGCAGACACTGGACGGGGTCCCAGGCCAAGGAGCACTCCACTCAGTAGGGTGTGGGGGCTTCCCTCCTTTCAGGAGCTCATAGAGTGAGGGGGCCCAGGGATCAGCATGCAGCTTTCACCCCCAGCCCCATCTGGGACCAGCGTGCACTTTCATCCCCAGCCGCCGTCTCTGCTTCTGGCCCTGCCGGGACTTGGGGCTGCCTGCGCATTAAATGGCCCAGGTCTGTGTCCTGGTTACTCAAGCCTGAGAGAGCTGCCACCCTTGTAGGTCATGGCTGCAGGAAATCAGGCTGTCCCCCAGGTCTAGGTGGGTCTGCCAAAATGCCCCGAGACGTGAGCAGGGCCGTGAGGTCAGCCCTGGGTGGCGCCGCTCCTCCTGCTCGTGTGCCCAGATCAATCGGCTGCCCCCGCTGGAAGGGGACGCTGTCCCTGCTGGGGTCCGGAGCCCACTTCGGGCTCCCTCTCTAACCAACAGTGGCTCCCTGGAGACTCTACATGCCCCACCCTTGCCCTCTGCTCCACTGCTGGGACCACCTTTGCTCTCAAGGACTGTGGACACCGGTGAAGAGGGGCACCCGGTCGATGCCAGCTGGACTCCGTCCACCCCTCGAGAGCCAGGGCGTTGGGCTCACTGTCTTCCCCAGAGGAAGCCTCGCTGGGGCCACGGGAGGCTCGGGCCTCTGTTCCTCCGGCACATTCTGGCACGGTGGCAGGGGAGGCTCCTTAGGAGGATGAGGGGACGGAGAAGGCCCCAGGGGTCTCCTGCAGGCAGCAGTGTTTGCTCTGCAGGGCCTGGAGGTTCAGGCAGGGAGGTGGAGGCGACTACATGTGGACGCAGGTTAAAGGACAAGGATTCTGAACATGCCGGGGCTGGGTCCCGGCACCATCAGAGCCAAGTCACCGGCTCCCTCGGGGAGGAGAGAGCTGTGAGGGCTGAGTCACCGGTGGGCTGGAGTGGAGGGGAGGATAGGGCGACAGGTGAGGACACTTCAGGCCGGGCAGGCTTCCAGCGTGCGGAAGGGGCCGGTGGGTCAGATGGGGGGTAGGGTGGAGGCACTGGCTGCGTGGCTTCAGCAGGCATCACCCTGGAATGTGCTGGAATAACAAGCAGAGGCGGCGTGGAGCAGGATGGAGGGCAGAAGTGCAGAGATAGGAGTGTGTGATCCTGGGTGGAGGCGCTGACGCCTGGCCGGCGGAGACGACACTTCTGGAGCCTCGCTGAGGCTGGATCCCAGGCGCAAGGGGCGGGCCCACCACGGGGGACCCCAGGTCACAACAAGGGGCAGCTCAGAGCAGGGTGGGGGCCCCCAGGCCACCCAGGAGTGGAAGTGGCTCGTGATGCTGTGGGTGCTGCGCTGTGAGGGGCTCCTGGTCCTGCCGGCCTCCCAGCTACACGTGGCCCACTCGCCTCCACAGCCGCCAAGCCTCCCTTGGGGCTCCTGCTCTCGGGGCTGGGCTGGAGGGGCCTGGGAGTCCCAGCGGGCGAGGAAGCCGGGCCCAGGGGAGAGCAGCATGCTGGGTCAGGAGACCGGTCGGGGGCTCGGCCGGGCCTGGAGTCCAGCGGGCAGGGGCTGGCAGGGAGTGGGCAGGGTGCCCGCCACCCCGAGGGCCACCAGGGAAGACCATCTGGATTGGGTTTGCGGTGGAGGCTCGCCAGCAGTGTTTTGACTCCAGGCAGGTTTCAGAGTGTGAACGGCCCCCGTGTCATCTGCTGGGTCCCTCTGCCAGAGGGTTTCTGAAAGACAGATGGCCACACGCGGAAGCTGTCGGCGGCGTGTGGGCCCAGCGATGACGGGGGTGCGAATCCTGCTCTTCCTCCCTCGGCAGCCAGCGGTCTCTCAGTCCTCTCCCGTGTTCTCACTGTACCCTAGAAAGCAAAGCCCGAGCTCCTCAGCATGCTGTGGGGGCGAGTGGGCAGAGCCAGGCGTCCTGCGGGCACACATGGCTGTCCCTGTGCCTCCATGAGCGGGGAGGGGCGCTGGCGGGAGCCCCCACACAGGCAGCCTCCCCACCTGGGACCCCACACAGGCGGCCTCCCCACCTGGGACCCCACCCAGGCCTCCTGACCTCATGGGGCTGGGCTTGGCTACAGGAGGGCGCTTTGCGTGGAACCTGAACCTGGCCTGGCTTTGCCTCCGTGGTTTTCGGCACAGGGGGAGGGGCCGGCTGAATTCCTCCGCAGGATCCAAGGGGCTGTGCAGACACGGGCCGTGACTGCTGGGTCCTCCGTGGAGAAAATCAATACCAAGTTGGAGTGAGTCCCCAGGGTTCATGTATCACTCTGCACCCGGAAGGAACTTTCTGGAAATGCAATACATCCCTGCAAAGTGGGACTCAGGGCTCTTTCCTGTCACTGTGCAGAAGGCAAGGTCTCAAAGGGAGAAGATCGGAAGGCTGGGAGCCCGGGAGCCCGCCTGGGAGCCTGCCTGGGCCTGGGTCTCCCCTCAGGGCTGAGGAGCCCCGGGCCCAGCGCCCACGGTCGCTGTAGCCAAGCTCACAGGCCCCACCTCCTGCCTGGCCATGCTTTTGCCCACGTGGGCTGCAGCCAGGGCCTGGTCGCCACCCTCCCCAATGTGGCCCTGAGGCCAGTCCTGTGCTGGCCTGTATTGACACGCCGGCTCACTCAAATCGATTCTTGTCAAAGCCGTCGTGGAAAGAACAGCTTTCAAAATAGAGCCCAAGAAGACGTGGGCTTCCACTGTGAGAGCCTGGGTGCTGGCGGGCTGCCCAGGGTGCCTCCTCTCTCTCCAGCCGGGCGTGGAGCTCCACGAGCAGCTCCTGGCTGTTGCAGGGCTGTGAGATGTTCTCGTTTGTTCAGCCGGAAGGTCTAGAGAAAGGGGCTGAGGGGGACGTCTGAGCACCCAGCCTTGAGGAGGAGGCCAGGACTGAGGCCTGGGTTCATTCCTAATGTGTCCCGAGGACAAGCACATGGAACGGGCTGTGTTCTGGCTGCAGACCGGCCTGGGAGCGCCCTCGCTGGCCTGGGAACGGGCAGGCTGCGGGGCAGAGGGCAATGGACCTTCTGCCTAGGTGCGAGGGGCTGGTGTGCAGCTCCGCGCCCCGGGGACCCCATCCCAGCCCCTCAGCCAGCCCCTCTGCAGTGGCAGTTTTCTCTTCCTGCCAAGACCTTGGACGGAGTCTGCACCCATCCCTGCACGTGGCAGAGACAAAACCCACAATCAGATACACAGGAAGGGCCGGGGTCCTGCCACCTGCACGTTAGACCCTGAGGGTGACGTTTGCTCTTTGATCCTCTGGTCCTTTGCGCTCCGGGGGCCTCTGCCTGGCATGGAAATGTTGATTCTTCCCTGTCTGCCTAAGACAGTGTGATTTTCAGACTAGCAGAGGAGGAAATGTCCGGCGGCTGTCCTGTGGGGGTCCACCCACCCTCGAGACTGTCATGGGCCGCGTGTCTCCCCCGGAGGCTGTCCTATCCTATCGGGCTCTACCCACCCTCAATACTGTTATGAGCCACGTGTCTCCCCCCTGGGCGGCTGTCCTATCCTATGGGGGTCCACCCACCCTCGATACTGTTAGGGGCCACGTGTCTCCCCACTGGGCGGCTGTCCTATCCTATGAGGGCCCACCCACCCTTGATACTGTTAGGGGCCGTGTGTCTCCCCCAGATCTGTATGCTGCAGCCCTAAGCCCCAATGCCTCCGCAAGGGACCTTACTTGGAGATGGGGTCCTCACAGAGGTGGTTAAGGTAACATGAGGCTGGTGGGGTGGCCCTGGCCCAATCTGCCTGGTGTCCTTATACGGAGAGGAGATGAGGACACAGACCCACACAGAGGGATGGCCTTGTGAGGACAGTAGCAGGAGACAGAGCCAAGGAGAGAGGCCTCAGGAGCCAGCGGAGCCGCACCCTGACCCTGGATTCCACCTCCTGAATGGTGAGAGAGCCATTCAGGCTCTCTCTGTTGAAGCCCCCAGGCTGTGGGACTTGTTACAGTGACCCGGGAACTCACACGATAGTCACAGCACATTACAGCTGACAAAGTGAGCTCCTTCCGTGGAGACGCTCCTCCCAGCATTCCGGTGAGGTGGGGGCTGGCACGTCACCCCCACTCTGGATGAAGAGGCCGCATCAGGCGGGATGGGCTTGGCTACGCTGCAGTCACAAACAGCCCCACAGCTCACCATGGGCTACAGCACAAGTTCATTGCCTGCACTTCGGGGTGGGCACCCACTTGCCCCTGTTCCAGCCGCTGTGCTTGGCGTGGCTCCCTCCTCACCAGGACCTGTGACTGTGACGCATCAGAGGAGGAGGTGCTAGGTGGAGACAACGTGGAGACTGAGGGTGAGACTGGAGGAGGGGAAGCCCCCGTTTCTTATTGAGAGCCCTACGGGGTCAGGCCAAGGAGCGCAGGTGGCTGTGCGGGAAGGAGCTGCACTCTGCTAGGTGTGGGGGCTTCCCACCTGCGCTCCCAGGTGAGCCGTGGCCATGCCACCAGGCCCCTCAACCCTGTGCCTGCCATGCGGCCCTCTCGAAGGACCTCTGGATATGTCTGGGGAGTCCTGCTCAGCCTGGCCCCAGTGGAGTCTCTGCAGCAAATAAGCACACAGCAGCAGCAGTCACTGCACCTGTGGCCCTGAGAGGCTGTGAGCACACAACATCCTGGCTGGAAAGAGGGGAGGCCTGGGGTCCGGGCAGCTTGCGGGGCCAGCTGTGCACCCAGTGACATCCTCATCACCACCCACGCCGAGCACAGCAGAGACCCCGAGCCGAGGGCAGAAGGAGCACACGGTCACAGGAAACCTTTCCTTCCAGTTCTCTGTGCCTGCACCCAGCACTTCGTGTCTAGGGATGAATTTAATCTGCACGGTGACCTCTGAGGTGGGCACTGCCACTGTCCCAGCTCTATAGACACGGAGTGTGGCGGGCAACATAGGAAACAGCAAGCCTTTGAGCGGAGGGGGGTCTGGCTGTGGCTTCCCCTCTTTGTTGAATGGTGTCCCCACAGAAAGATCTGTCTGTGTCCCAGAACCTGTAAAGATGACCTTATTTGAAAAAAGGGTCTTTGCAGATATAATCAGGTCAAGACCTGGCAGCGTGATCGTCCTGGGCTGTCAGGCTGGACCACAGCGCCTGGTGTGAAGGACAAGCGCCTTCATGAAGAGAAGAGAAAACCCAGGGAGAGCCACATGGAGAGGGGCCGAGGCCGTGGGAGGGCCAGGCAGGGACTGGAGGGAGGCAGCCACAAGCCAAGGAACGCCTGGGCCACCAGAAGCTGCCAGAGACAAGGAAGATCCCCCTCTAGCGCCTCTGGAGGGAGTGCAGCCCTGCCCACAGCTTAATTTGGGGCTTCTGGTCCCCAGAGCTGTAAGGGAATCAGTATCTGTTGTTGAGGCCACCTGGCTTGTTGCAAGAGCCCCAGGACACGCGCCCACTTGGCCACGTTGCCCAGGCGGTTGTGGTCGAGTGCCCAGGGTTCCGGCCCCAGCGCCTGCACTCCTGACCACACAGGAGGTTGACGCCTGCCGGGAAGTCTGCTCACGGCACCCTCTCTCTTTCCGGATTCCAGTGCTTCCTGCGGTGCTCTGTGCAAAGGAGTGCTGCCGGCTCCCATCCCCAGCCTCTCAGGGCTGGGAGGTGACATCCAGCAGCAAGCAGGGGCCCCGCTGTCTGCGACAGCGTGGCTGAGAGTTGGTGCCGGCCAGGTGTGTTGGCTCATGCCTGTAATCCCAGCGCTTTGGGAGGCTAAGGTGGGAGGATGGCTTGAACCCAGGAGTTCAAGGCTACAATGAGCTATGCTTGCACCACTGCACTCCAGCCTGGGCGAATGTGAGACCGTTTCTATAAAATACAATAGAGAGACGGCGAGTCGGTGCCACACGATTGGCCCTTGGTGTGTTTTCCCTGCCCATCAGAGCTACCCCAAGGAACTGAGTGAGCAAATGTGTGCCTGTCTGCTCACCTGCTTAAGATGCAAAGTGTCGAAAGCAGGGCCCCACCCAGCATCTTCCCCTCCCGCAGGTGCCTGGCACGCTGGGCTCCTGCCGCCACAAACCGACGTGACTTGGTGAACGTAAGTGAGCACTGGCTGACCGGATCATGTTTAAAGGAATCCTTTAGGGGAACCACTCTGCAAAGAAAGTAACCCTCAGTAACTCGCTTTTAGTTATATGTGGACTTCACCTTATCCGGCTTCCATAAGGTGGATTTGCAGAAAGCCGGGGCGGTGGCGCGGCGGGAGGCGTGGGAGCTGGTGGGATTCTCCGCAGGTGCTGCTGGGCCGGGCAGTGGCTCCGGTGGGGGGCGCTGTGTCTCCAGGCCCTGACCTGGCTCCCGCTGGGCCGGCTGTGGCAGGGAAGAGCCATTTTTCATGGCAGGGGGGTGGCTTCACACCGGCCCAAGTGCCAGTATGTTCCACAGTTCTTTTTGCTGACGGAATCAGCCATCAGCTCAGCCCAGGTGACTTCCAACCTAATCTAAACAAGGTGGGGTCGGTGGACTCAGCTCTCACAAAGAAAGACACGGTGACGTCGGGCGTGGCCACGTGAGGCAGGGGTGGGGAGAGGCTGACAGCCTCTGCCTCTCCCTCCACCGGCACCGCCCGCCCCAAGCTCACGTGGCCCTTGCGGACGTCATTCCTTCACTGGGTCGTGCCAAGCAGCAGGGGTGCGGCTGTCCCAGTCCTCACGCCCTGCCCTCCTCGGGCAGCCTGGGTGTCCGCTCCTGCACTCAGAGCACTCCCCGCCAGGCACCCCCCGCCAGGCACCCCCCATCCACACCCAAAGGCAGGCCCAGGCACATGGCTTGGGTGACAGAGTCTGTTTGGGGCGATGCCTGCAAGCCCTGTGGGAAATCGGGGTGGAGGGAGCGGGCGGGGCCGAGCGGCCGCGGGAACGAGCAGTGCCCTGCCTCCAAGGGAGCCCCGGGTCCTCTCCCCACTGGCTGGCCCTGTCGTGGACATGAGCTCTCAGGTTTCTGACGGGCTGAGCGTAGTGGCTGAGGGCTCCCTCAGGCAGGGGCAGGTGGGCTTGGGCCAAAGAGAAACCTCTTCCCCGATAGGGGACACAGCAGACAGCCACCAGGAGCCGGAGTGGAGGGGCCAGGCTGTGCTCAGCCTCACGACACACTGGCGTTCGCTCAAGCTCATGGCTGGCGTTTAGGAGGGCACCGCGAGCACCTACTGAGCTGGGATGAGGTCGGAGGCTGCCCCTGCCCAGTGAGATGAATGCCCCGGGGCCATGTGGGCTCTTGGCCGGGTGGTGCCAGGATGTGCCTGGATTTCAGAGTAGGTGGTCAGGGGTGGCCACCTGCTGGGAGTCTGGACCGTGGAGCCGGGGCGACTGGGCTTCAGCTTCAGTGGCTGCACAACATCCAAAAGCAGGGGGCCCTTGAGGACCCAGCCCTGCTCTCCGGGCATTGGGCACTTGGCCCCAGCGCCCCCCCTTTCTCGGTGCGAGGCCGAGCATCTCCCAAGTCTGGTGCCCACCCGGCTGCCTTGGCCTCTGCCCACTCCAAGCCAGCTCTTACTCCGCCACAGGCCCGGCCCCTCTCACTTCCAGCCTGGGCCCCACTGTCACTTCCCATCATCTCCCTCCTGGGTGACAGCCTTGGGAAGGGTCTCTGGCCTAGACTCTGATCCCAGGACACGGCCCTTCCTGCTCCTTGGTGGCCTTCCTGGGCTTCCAAGTCCGCGACCATACCCATGACCTGCTGCCCGCTGCTGGTGGGCCTCAGATTTCCCGGAAAGAGGGAAGAGGCTCAGACCAGCCCATAGCAGCTTTCCAGGTGAGGCCGTGATCATGAGCAGTCCAGGGTCCGCTGCCTGGTGGGGGCGGGACCGCAGGCTGGGCAGGGACAGCAGGCAGGGGTCCCTCCCCCCACACAGCCCCCCCTCCTGTGCGGGGCTCTGGGGTCCTGCCTTACAGGGGTCCTGTGTCACCTCAGTGGGGAGCAGGAGATGGGCCCGGGGCTCGGGGCTGCCATCTCCACTGCATGGTCTGGGGCTGAGCTGTCGTGGAGCAACTCGGGCCACATGTTTGTAATTTGGGGACAATTCTGTCTTCCTGTAATTTTATTGTATTTAGTAAATGCGGTTTAATTTTCTTCCTGTATAGACTTCTCAAATAACTACAAATCAAAAAAGAGCTTGCAGTCCCTTCAGGGGCAACCGTGGCCTCCAAGGACCCAACAGCAGGCCCGTGGCACACACTCATGCCCGCTCCCACTCCCAGACACTTCACGCCTGCACTCACGCCTCACAGCCACACACACGGGCACACCCACAGTGGGCACGCTCACACCCCAGTCACGCACACACACACATCCACACACCTCCCTCTGCTGCTTCCTCCCTCAAGTGCCCGCACCCCCATGCGTCCCCGTACAGTCCCAGTCAGGGCCGCTCCCCCGCACCCCCCGTCATTTCCCACTTCCGTTCCCAGCACCGGCATTCGGCATTTGCCGCGGGCCGAGGGCTGGTGCGACAGAAGCCCTGCCAGCGCCACGAGCCGACGCCCCTGTAAAAGCGGCTGTTCCGCGCACACAGGAGCCGCCTCTGGCCTGCCAGACACGTCCTGCCCGGAGGACCACAGACCCGAGGCCGGCTAGGACCAGAGGACCGCGGCTCACTGGCCATCAGCAGGCTCACAGGGTCCCCTCGCAGCACCCAGGGGGCTGGGGCCCGGCCGACCACTGAGAGAACTCGCCGTGCATCCCCTGCCGGCCTCCCTGCTCAGGGGCAGCTGGGACGTGGGCAGCCGCCTTTCAGACTCTAGCCAGGGTCCCGGATGTGGGGAAGGCCACCCATCAGGCGAGTGTATGTGAGACGTGGGGACAACGGGGGCACCCCACGGAGACACCAGCTTGTCCTGCCGCGTTCTCCATGTGCTGGAGTGGGGGTGGCTGCAGGCGCAGCTGCTTCCCCTGGCTCATCTGGCTTTCAGGTGGTCACGGCTGTGCGGGTCTGTTCCCCAGCTCCCGGGGGTGCAAGGCAGTGGCAACGCAGCGGCCCTGGTGGCTTTATGCTCCCGGCACGGCTCCGGGGGGGCTGCCGTGGTGACAGTGCCTGGTGGGGCGGCACTCTGTGCCTGAGTCTCCCAGGAGGCCCGTCTGGAGTCTGCAGCCCATCCTGGGTCCTGTGATACCCCTTCCCTGTGTTCAATCCCTTCCTGCTCAGAGTCCTTGGGTCCACTTTTCCCTGCTTGGACCCATCTGTCATGAACCCTTGAGTGGGTGGTGCTGCTGAGGGCTGGTGCCTGGAGGCACCGGGCCAGCTGGAGCTGGGAGGGTGGGCAGAGGAAACGCCACATGAAGAAGCTGCAGGGTTCTCCATTCTGGCCACACAAAGTGCCCGCAGTGGATAATGCTTCCAGGGGAGTGGGGGTGACTGGAGGGTTGGAGGGGTATCTGGACAGCTCCCTGGGGGCAGTTCCCTTGTGAGCGTTTGTGGGGGTGAAAATCCCTGTCACGTCTCCTTCCAGAATGTCCATTCTACTTCAATGCCAAGTTTAAGTACATGGTGCCTAACCCACGCCCTCTGTGTGCAACTGGGTGAGGTCATCTACCCGCTCCTCCAGGTCACAACAAATCCATCCCTCCCCAGCCTGTTTCCAACTTGACTGAAACACCCCTAAATGCTCCACAAAGTTCCTGGGCAGCCCTGGGCTCCAAGAGGCTTGGCCAGGGGTGAGCTTAAAGGAGAGCACACATGTGCACACACACGGACCCACCCACAGAGACACGTGCATACGCATGGATCCACACACACAAACACATGTACACACAAACTCGCATACACAAACACAAGCACTCACAAAATCACACACATGCACACAGTAACTCATACACACGAGTACATGCCTGCATTCACCTGACAACACAAACACACATGCATACGGCAAACCCACATGCACACACCTACGCATGCCCACGTGCACAAAGCAAATATCTGCACATAACCAAATCCATAGGCGTGCACAAGAAAACATATACACAGATACACACACTTGCGTGTAGTGCACACAAGCATACACAAACACGCACACACGCAAGCACAGATGCAGGCACACACGGAGAGATTTTGGTTCTTTGCTCGTGAATCATTTGTTCACTAATTAAATCACCCATCAGCTTCTTTGACAAGGGCGTCATGTGAGCCTCCTGCATGCCAGGGTGAGTTCTGAGTGTTGAAGCTCCCACAGGAAATGGCACCGTCCCGGGAGCAACAGTCTTGAAGACTGTGGATGGCTTCCTTGTCTTGCCCTGGCCAGAGGCGGGGCCCTGGGTTAGCACAAGGCTTTCTCAGATGAAGTTCCAAAGTTTCCCCATAAAAGGAGTCACTCCAAGCTAGCGTCGCCCACGACATCCTTCCAGGCCTGGCTCCCCTGGGCCACGCGGAGTGGAGGGGGCAGGCGGGTCTGTGCAGAGGAAGGGGCACCCTCCCCGTGCAGGGAAGGTGCTCTGCTCTTCCCACCCCCGAATCCAGCCCCCACCCCACTCCAAGGCACCCAGCTCTGCCCCGCCGCCCTCCTGTTCATCCTTTCGCACTTTTGGGGGCTTGGTGGCTTTAGCATGGCCTGTCCCCTCCAGGGACCCACCCACCTGTATGACAGGGTTTACTTCAGCCTCATCTGGGAAGGGAGCAGCCCTCGGGAGGCCCCTCAAGTACACAGGAGATGAAGAAGAGAGAAACTGAGGCTGAGCTGCTCCGATTGGCCCAAGGGTCCTGAGTTGGAAGATGACAAAGAAACCCCTCCTTAGAGTCTGGACTCTGCTTCCCCAGTCCATGACCATGTGGCTCAGGAGCTGGGGTAGGGGGCACCCAGGAGGATGGGGACCCTCACCTTCTGGGGACTGAGGGCCAAGAAGCCCACTGAGCACTCAGGGTGTCCTGCCCTGCCCTGGAGAGAGGGCGGCTGGAACCTGCACCCTGGGTTAGGGGGTGAGGCCGGGGAGCCAGGCAAGTACCAGGCCAGCTTCTGCCAGACCGCCCTGTGGGCCATACCTGTCTCTGACGTCACTCAGGCCTGTGAGCCTCTCCCTGTGCTTCCTCTGCTAGCACATGTGTGAGCGTGTACATCACACACAGATGCACACGTGTGCACAGAGATGTATGCACATAGAGGGATGTGCACACACACACTCACACACCATTGTGTGTTACAACGCCCTCTTAAACCTTGAAACATTTGGGAAGATGCTTGACTTGTTTGGTTGCCCCTTTCTAATTCACCCATCTCCCAACTGTTCACGCCCTTGTCAACCCCCCAACCCCAGACCCTCCAAGTCACCTCCCAGGTGCTGCTGTCAGCCCCGACACCTCCTTCCTGGGCAGGGGTTGTGAGGGGACGCCTCCTTCCAGGACAGGGGGCACCGTCTGGGCAGTAACGTGGGCCACAGTTGCCCCGTGACCCTCCCTACACTTTGTTGCTCTCCCAGCCACAGGCCTGGCCCTGACGCACAGCAGCTTCTCCGGCCAGCTGTGCAAAAAGGAACGCGTCCTCCCTGGGCCCACGGCTGGGTGGCCACGTAGCAAGGGCTCTTCCACTGCTCAGTGCTGTTACCCTGGGATCTAAACAGGGCTTGGGGCCTGACGTGAAAAGGGAGAAGCAGTGTTACCAGGGACATCCTCCTGGGGGTTTTAGAATCTCCCCCGTGGAGGGGGAGGAGAAGAGGAAGGAGGGAGAACTGCCGGCCCGGCCCCATGAGTGGAGGGTGCACCAAGTCACTGACCTCTGGTCCCTGCCCACCTGGGAGCTCCTACCTCGCAGGCAGTGCCAGTCTCTGGCAGGGGTCAGGCCACCTGTTCTATTTGCCTTTAGTTCATAGCCTGATCAAAAGGCTAATGAGTTCAAAGTCACATTCCTTATCTCATTTTTGAGTGAGGACTCAAAACCTGCACCTGGACCAGTGACCCTGGGCATTTTGTCCCATCATTGCACAACCACGGTAGCTTTTATCTCCCTGCCGGCCTTTTATTAGGTGCAGCCACGGGTTCTTTGCTTTCTCATTCACCGCTGACGTCTGTACTAATGACGACACGCTTTCGAATGCCAATTCACTGACTGAAGTACTAGCCACAGGTTTGTTTTTTTGTTCACGCCCAGAGAATGTGTCTTGGCAATATGCTCCTGTTGGACGTTATTATGCAGTGATGCTATATGGCAAATGTGCCCCAGGAATGCCACACTCACAAGGCAGCGTTTGGCCTCCTGTAAAAAAAACCCACAGAGACAAATAACTAAGAAAAAACCATGGAAGAAAGAGGTAAAGGATTCATGCCTTTAATATAAAAAGAGTTCTCAGAATAAATAAGCATTTCCTTACTAGGGGCCCATCTTTTGATTTTGCCCGTGCAAAGGAATCTGTGGCTCCTTCCTTTGTAATAGCCCCCAGTAAACCACCCCCTCCTGCCCTTAGTCCAGATGATTTGGGTGTGCTGACCTAAATTCTTCACCTCCAGAGATTAAACATGACATAAACCTGGCCAATGAAGGGCTTGCCTGGGACCGTGGCTGGGACTATCAGGGAAAAGATATGCTTTCTCTGTAGACGGTGAACTAGTAGGATGTTAGCTACCTGTCTTAGTCTGCTTTGTGCAGCTATAACAAAATATCACAGTCTGGGTAATCTATAATGAACAGAGATGTCCTGGGGAGGCTGGGAAGTCCAAGAGCATGGCACTGGCATCTAGTTAGGGCCTTCTTGCTGCGGCATCCCAAGGTGGAAGGCAGAAGGGCAAGAGTGAGAAAGTGAGAGCACACACACACACACACACACACACAAAGAGAGGGGGAGAGAGAGAAAGAGAGAGCGCAAGATGGGGCCAAACTTGTCCTTTTATAAGGAACGCACTCTTGAGATAATGGTATTAATCCACTTGTGAGGGTCGTACCCCTATGACCCAAGCACCTCCCATTAGGCCCCACCTCCCACCATTGCCATGATGGGGATCAAGCTTCTGACACATGAACTTTGGGGGGCACTTTCAAAGCATAGCACCATCTTTGCTACAAACTGGAATGAGCCTGCCTGAGAACAAAGCCAAGGCAGGGAAGTAGAACTGAGGGATGCTGCTGAAAAAAGGGAATAGAACAGATAAACATTGTGTGAGCCTGGGTCGAGCTCAGCCTGAAGCCTGTAGTATCCTGGGCCCTTTAGTTATGTTAACCACCAACTCTCCTTTTAGCTTGAACCAGTTTCAGTTGCATTTCTGCCTCTCACAATAAAGGGAGCCTTGACTGAGACCCACTAATAGAAAACGGAGCAGAAAATAAGAACTGACACTCAAAAGAAACACAAATGGCCAATGAACATGAAGAGAAGAATCACTTTCCATAAGGAAATCCAAGAAGTGCCCATTACAATAAATGCATGCTATTACGGATTGAACTGTGTCCCCCTACTGAAAGGTATGTTAAGTCCTCACCTCCTGTACCTAAGAACATGGCCTTATTTGGAAATAGGGTGGTTGCAGATTAACTAGTTAGAGTGAGACCATACTGGAGTAGGCTGGGTCCTAAATACAGAATGCCTGGTGTCCTTATAAGAAGAGAGGGAGGCCCCGGGAAAAGCCGGCCCATCTGAAGATGGTGGCGGAGACTGGATGAGGGATCTGTAAGCCAACGACTGACAGGTGTCCCTGAGAACCTCCAGAAGCTGGAAGAGGCATGAAAGGAATCTCGCCAGGAGGCTGAAGAGGGAACATGGCCTTGCCCACACAGATTTCAGACATCTGGCTCCAGAACTGTGGGAGGACACATTTCTGTTGTTTAGAACTGCCTGTTTTTTATACTTTGTTATGGCTGCCCTAGGGAACTAATACAGATATTATTTTCCACTTCTGAACTTAGCAAAATATTTTTAAAATGAAAATTCTTAAATGTTGGCACAGTTTAAGGTCAGGGGTGCCCCAGCAGTTTGGCAACATATATCAAAGGCTTTAAGACACTTTATCCTCTTTCACTTGGTAATTCCATTTTTAAGGCTTTATCCTAGGGAAAAATTTCACATAGGAATTAAGAGTTTTGGGAAAGATGCTCACAATAACACTGTTTATAGTAACGTGTAGAAACAATAATGTCTACAAATAGAAATGTTAAATAAATGGGAATGTTACATGTTAAACATGAGATATTAGATATTAAGAATAATGTATTTAAATTATATATGATACATGGAATTCTCTTTCTACAAATAGAAAGAGAGGCTATAAGAGTGTTCATATGGGGTACAATCCAAATTTATTTTTTAAAAATTTACATCTATTCAACTAGAAAAAAATGCACCAAAATACTGAGTGATGATATCTGAGTGGTAGAATTATGAATTATTTCTTATATGTTAGTATTATTATTTTCATATATATTTTTTATAATAATCATATATTCCATTTTATCATCAAGAAAAAAGTTTTAAAATTCTAAATCCTTTCATGTGCACTGTTTTAAACTAAGGTAGAAGAAAAAAAGTCACTGAAAATCCAAGATGTAATAAACAGGCCCAACAAAGGCCAACAAACTTAGTATATATTTGCTGTAATAAAATATTAACCCACTTGTGAGGGTCGTGCCCCTGCGGTCCAAACACCTCCCATGAGACCGCATCTCCCAACACGGCCATGTTGGGGATCAAGCTTCCGACACATGAACTTTGGGGAACACTTTCAAACCACAGTACCATCTTTGCTACAAACTGGAATTTTTAAAAATATATATTTATAAAATATAAATTTGGTAGCACAGATTCAATTATGGGACATGGCCGGGAGCAGTTGCTCATGCCTGTTTCCCAGCACTTTAGGAGGCCGAGACGAGTGGATCACCTGAGGTCAGGAGTTTGAGACCAGCCTGGCCACAATGGGGAAACCCCGTCTCTACTAAAAATACAAAAATTTGCCAGGCATGGTGGCGCGCCTGTAATCCCAGCACTTTGGGAGGCCGAGGCAGGAGAATCGCTTGAACTCGGGAGGTAGAGGTTGCAGTGAGCCAAGATCATGCCACTGCATTCCAGCCTGGGCAACAAGGGCGAAACTCCATCTCAAAAAAAAAAAAAAAAGCCAAAAATATCCCCAGAAAACAATTATGGGACACACTGTTTCTAAGTGACATCTAGGGGCAAAGCAAACACAGCTGCTTTCTAAAGCCCTCCAGGGCGTGGCGCAGCCACGGAGCTTGCCCCCACCGGGGGTGGCTGGGCATGGCTCAGGAGCACCTGTGCTCCTGGTTCTGGGCCCTTCCAGTGGCTGCCTGAAGTGCCAGGGTGTCAGGGCAGCAGCAGGACCCGTCCACCGGGGTGGGGCAGGGGAGAGCATAGTTCCCACTGGGGAAGCATGTCGGGTTCAGGGGAGACGCTCCGAATGGAGAGAAGGAGGTTTTGGGGATGAGAAAGCTGAGGTGTCTCTTGAGAACTCGGAGCTCCTGGGAGCACCCGGTGTAGTCCTCGCAGATGTGGAGCCCAGGCCAGGCTGCAGGTGGGCTGCCAAGGCCCACCCCACTGCCAGCCTCTTGTGCCAGGCCTCCCTCCGTGCCAGAGGGGGCTCAGGTTTCTAAGGACGGGGCAGGGAGCTACTGGGAGGTCCTGTGGCCCTTTTGGTTCTTGCTGAACTATGGGACCTGGCTTAACATTTTTTTATTGCAGTAAAATACACATAACATAAAATTTACTATTTTAACCATCTGAAAGCACACAGTTTGGTGACGTTAAGTTCATTGACACTGCTGTGTAACCATCACCACCATCCACCTCCAAACTTTTCCCTCTTCCCAAACTGAAACTCTGAACCCATTAAACACTCACTCCCCCAGCCCCAGCACCTCCCACTCTACTTTCTGCCTCTGTGGATTTGAGTACTCCAGGGACCTTGTGCACGTGGAACCATACGGCATTTGTCCTCTTGGGACCAGCTTCGTTCACGCAGCATGATGTCCTCCTGGTTCCTTTGTGTTGTAGCATGTCTCAGAACTTCCTTCCTTTTTAAGGCTGAGTAATATTCCATTTTGTGGAACATTCTGTGTCTCCATTCATCTGTGGATGGATGTTTGAGTGTCCCACCTCCTGCTCGTGTGAACTGCCTGTGGGATCACCATGCCATCTGAGGACTCACCGACCATTTCCTACAGCGACTGCACCATTCACATTCCCGTCAGCAGTGCACAAGGGCTCCGGCTTCTCCACTTCCTTGCAGACACTTGTAATTTTCTGTTGTGTTTTGATGGTAGCCATTCCAATGGGTGTGCGGTGGCATCTCACCGTGGTTTTGTGGACCTGGCATTTTAGAGGGGATGGAGACGAGGCAGTCATGGGGGTTCCCAGGGACAGGGTGGTGCCCCACTATCCGGTCTGGCTCACCTGTCCCTACTTCCCCGTCTGTTTGGTGGGCTTCTGACCCCCACCTCCCCAGCATGGGGAGAATGTGGCCAGAGGGGAAGAATCTCCTGCAATGCCCAGCCATCCTGCCCTGTCCCTGGCCCCTTCCGGGAGAGGGACTGACTCAGTGAAGGGTGGACGCTTTCACTGTTCCAGTGGCTCACCCTCCGTATGCACACCCAGGTAAACCGGTCAGTGAAGAAACACTCCGAACAAGTCAAGGAGGAGGCTCAGCCCTCTGGTTACTCCAGGAAGCTGCCGGTCTTCACCCACACAGAGCCCCGGCCCTTCAGGTAGGAGCGGCCAGAGGCTCTGAGGTTGTTGCCTTTGACCCACTTTCTCAGCCTTACCTAAGAAGAGGACTAGAGGAGCCAGTAGGACAGCTGGCCGGGGCTGGGGCAGGACAGAGCTCCACAGGGACCCTCAGACCTGCTGGCCTCGGCCTGGTATTGGGTGGGGAGTGGGGCACAGCCCATTCCCTCCACAGTGACCAGGTTGGGTCTGAATGACCCAGTTTGGCTGTCCACACTCCAAAAATGTGGGACAAGGGGCCTCTGGTGGCCTCCTTTTGGGAGGGCATGGCCCCTGGGTGAGGACAGCTGTGGCCCCCCCTGTGCAGCCTGCAGGAGGCCCACAGACCGAGGCCTCCAGGGGAGCTTCTGCTCCTGGGCCAGGGCATCTCCTGACCCTCTCTCTCCCCTTCTCTTACCTGGTTTTAGAGGCAGCGGGTGGATGAGCAGCCGGTCTAGAGAAGGGCTCAGACAAGTCCTGGGCATCCCAACAGTAGCCTTGAGGGACACGTGCTTGTCCTATTCCTAACTCCTCGGCATTCTTTATGAGTGGGGGAACCCATAGGGGGTCCCTGGAGGCAGTAGATGGGGAGCAGGCATCGTCAGGGTGAGTCTGGTCTGGGGCTCGAGGCGAAGGCAGGGCGAGGATCCTGGGCTGGCCGTGTTCTCTCCCTTGTCGTCCCCTGCCCTGCTCCCCCGCTGTGTGCTCTCCTGTGTCGTCCCCCGCCCAACTGCTCGTTATCCTGGAGCCCTCTCCCAGCCCCACTGCTTAGCTGGTGTCTCCCATTCTGGGAGTCTCCTCCCCACCCTCCCTCACCCCTCGGCCCCTCCGATCGAGATGTGCCCGTACCAACCTTGCCGTTATTTCAAGGGTGCCCATCAGTGTGTGCGCCCTGGACCTTAGCTTCATCTCTGTGCCCTGCCCTCTTCGATGCTGGTGTTCGTGGAATCGAGTCTCCCCAAAACTCGCATCCCCTGGATGCTCAGAATGTGACCTTATTTGGAAACAGGATCTTTAAAGATATCATCAGTTAAATGAAGACAAAGTCAGACTGGATTTTGGTGGGCCCCCATTCCAATGGCTGCCGTCGTTATAAGGAGGCGGCAGGAAGACGCGGAGATGGAGGCAGAGGCAGCACTTGGAGAGATGTGTCTACAAGCCACAGGACACCAAGGCTTACCAGCGGCCACCAGGAGCCAGGAGAGGCATGGGACAGGTCCTTCCCCACAGCCTGCAGAGGAGCTCAGCCCTGCCAACAGGCATTCGAGCTTCTACTTCCCAGAACTGTGGGGGAATACGTCTCCATGGTTTTAAGCCCCCAGTTTGCATTTCAGCAGCTCTAGGAAGCCAGTACAGTACTGAATTCAATATTCATTTAATCCGAGTTTCATTTTTAACTGCATGGTATGCGGTGTCTCCTGTTTCTCCCTAAGCCAATCAAGCCTCATTTAAAAAGAAGAAAAAGGACTCCCAAAGAGTAGCATGGTGGCCTGCTCAGGAACGCAGGGGCAGAGGCAGCAGCAGGGGCAGGGGCAGCAGCAGGGGCAGGGGCAGAGGCAGCGGCAGGGGCAGGGGCAGGGGCAGGGGCAGCAGCAGGGGCAGGGGCAGCGGCACGGGCAGGGGCAGCAGCAGGGCCGTCTGCACTGGGGCCTGCCCCAAAGCCGTCCCACCTGCACCTCACACCAACTTCAGGATGCTGGGACCACACACTGTTCATAAAGAAATGGAGGGCAGGCGCAGTGGCTCACGCCTGTCATCCCAGCACTTTGGGAGGCCAAGGTGGGCGGATCACCTGAAGTTAGGAGTTCAAGACCAGCCTGGCCAACATGGTGAAACTCCGTCTCTACTAAAAATACAAAAATTAGCTGGGCGTGGTGGTGCATGCCTGTAGTCCCAGCTACTCGGGAAGCTGAGACAGGAGAATCACTTGAACCTGGGAGGTGGAGGTTGCAGCGAGCCAAGATTGTGCCACTGCACTCCAGCCTGGGAGACAGAGCAAGACTCCGTCTCAGGAAAAAGAAAAAAAAGAAAAAAGAAACGGAGGCCCAGGCTGATGATATCACCGCCAGGGGTGCCCAGCAGGGACAGTCGGAGCAGGGCTGTGAGCCGGGTTGAGGAACCCAGAGCCCACCTCCTCCCACTGTCCTGCAGCTGAGCAGCCCCAGGCCTGTGAGCCAGCTCCGGCCACCAGCAGGGATCAAAGAAGGAATCTTCCAGCCCTTGTGCCAGAATCACCCGGGCACCTCCATGGGATCTGCCAGGCATGGACTGAATGAGAACCTTCCCTGAGGACACCAACTGCTCCAGGTGAGGGAATGATGAAGGCTGGGACACCCAGGCCCTCCACTGCTTCCTGTCTTTTAAGTGCTGGAGCTTCTGCTGGATTCCATGTTACAGATCATATCACATCCTCCATTCTGTGACATCTCACCTCCACTGTCGGGACATCACCCTGGGAAACCCAGGGTGGCCCGTCCCACCTGAGAAAACTGAAGCAAACCCAGCTAGTTTGAGGATCTGAGACTCCCGTGGTTCCAATCCTGGGGGCCCAGGTCCTGAACCTTCTTGCTGATTTCAGATCTGCAGTTTATTTGTGCAAAAAAAGGTTCTGGAAACTTTCTTCCAGGCCTCGGAGTGACCGAGAGATTCCTGGCCCTGAGGAAGAGCTGATTGGACCTTCTTCCTGGTCCAGCTGGTCCCAAGGGGCTCTGCCCAATTTCAAACTGTCCCCTTGTTCTCAGTAGTTTTGAAATGAGCTGTGTTTTACAAGAAACACATACTTATTTTTCCCCATCACACTTTCGTTCTTTCTGGTTTAACAGGGACCACGGTGGAAATGCCAGCGAGACGGTGGTGTGCTGGTGCCACTGGGCCTGGTGCCACATCACCACGTCCCTGTAAGGTGTCACTTTAGAGTACTCTGTCATTTTCATTAGCCGATCCCAATGACGTCTGTACTTGCTCATGCCATACGCAGCCCATGTGTTTTCTTTTCAAACAAATAACAATACCACCCAAAACCACAACAGCCAGGTCAAAATGAATGACACCCATTGCAGGCCACACTGCAGGGGCTGGGGCTGTCCTTAGGGCCCTGTGTCCTGCTCGAAGTCAGGGGCTTCCACGGATTGACTTGGCAACCCAGGGACTTGGCTCCCTACTCTCTTGTTTTTACTTTTTTTCTTTCTTTTTTTTTTTTTTTGAGACGGAGTCTCGCTCTGTTGCCCAGGCTGGAGTGCAGTGGGCAATCTGGGTTCACTGCAACCTCCGCCTCCCGGGTTCACTCCATTCTCCTGCCTCAGCCTCCCGAGTAGCTAGGACCACAGGCGCCCGCCACCACGCCCGGCTAATTTTTTGTATTTTTAGTGGAGATGGGGTTTCACCGTATGAGCCAGGATGGTCTCGATCTCCTGACCTCGTGATCCTTGGCCTCCCAAAGTGCTGGGATTACAGGTGTGAGCCACCGCGCCCTTGGTTCCCGACTCTCTGTAGCTCCCAGACCCTGCATGGCAGCCACACCCGTGGGTCCCAGGAGGTGTGTGGGGCCCTCTGCTTAAAGATCCCTCTCAGTGGCTCTGCCTGTGGCCTCCAGAGACCCCTCCTCCTCAGGCGGTGCTGGCCCACGGGCACCAGGCCGGGCATCCAGTCTCGACTCCGGTGGCTCTCAGACAGCCAGGCTGTCTTAAAACAAGGCTCCTGAAATGTGGAGAAATGGCTCATCGAGTGCCAAATGTCGGCATAGGGCCGGGGACCACGAGAGGCTGGGGATGGATGAGCCAGGTCAGGTGGGGCCACAGTCTCATGCTGAGCTGTGGTGTCTGTTTCCACGGGGCCTTGAATGGCATGAAAAGGGCCCCCGATGCTGCCGCGCCCCCGATGCCGCCGCGCCCCCGATGCCGCCGCACGGAGCTGTCCAGTCGGGATGCTGAACATTGCCACAGTGGAATTCTAGGCAGACAACTTCAGCTTACGGTTCTGCTTGCCATTTGGTGACCTGGCAAGACACTTCCTAGATAAGGCTGGAAAAGGCAGGACGCCTCATCCTGTTTTAATAAAAAGTGAATAAGAAAACGTCAGCTATGAAGAGCATTTCCGGTGCTTTTTGTTTTCATCTTTACATACTTACTTTCTTGATTTTCTATGGAACCTTTTCTATTAATTTTTATACTTCGAAGAAACCTGCTTTATAAGAGAAGGCCCGGCAGTGGAGGGAGCATTTCATCGTTTTCCCATAGATGCAGCTGAGATGGAGGGAGACCCATCCGGAAGCCGTGGAGAGAGCGTCTCCTCAGCCCGCCCTGAGACGGGGGTCCTCCTCTCTCCCCCATGGTCCGGGCTTGGCTTCTCTGGGCTGTGAGATGCACAAGTGAAACGCTTCAATCTCCAAGGCCAGAGACCTTCCACCCACAGGCCTCACGCTCCTTCCTGCCACCCGCTTCCCATCGCAGCTCCTTGCTCCTCAGCTTGGCTCCAACAGCCCCAAGTCCCTGCCTCCCTTTCCCTGTCATCCTCGCCTGGCCGTGTCAGGCCGTGAAGCCGGGACAGACCACACTGCTCTGTGCACACCCCGGGCAGGCAGGCGCTGGGCAGCAGGTTGCAGATGGATGTGGACGGCGCCAAGGACCCCCACTGGGTCTGTCTTCCCAATCGTGGCCTCTGCTCTTCTTCCCCTCTGCTGAGAGCCTCTGCTCAGCATTCAGAGAGGGAAGGTGTGGGTGGCTGCCTCCTGCCCCATGCCCCCCGCCGGGGCTCCACCTCTTCTCTCTCCTGGAGCAGTTGGTGTTCTCAGGGAAGGTCCTCGCTCAGTCCACGCCTGGCAAATCCCACGGAGAGGCCCGGAAGCAGTTCCCTCCATGGCCACTTTCCTGCCAGCATTCTTTTCTTACTCATCATCTTATGCTGTTACTGTCTCCGCAACTGGAACCAACGGTCCTCGAGAGAAGGTGTCTTGTGTCCCTCCTACTGTGCCCACAACCTTCACGCAGTGCCTGACACACAGCAGGGCCTCTCGAGCCTTTGTGGACATCTGGAGGACGACTCCGAACTCACCCTCGCGTTGCACCGTCTCACCTCTCTCTGGGGACCTGTCCCTTCCCACAGTGAACTTCGAAGCATGTCTGTCTGTCACCATGTTCTGGCACAGTCTGGCCATGCTCACCTGTGTCCACCCGCTGACTCATTGCAGCTGGCACACTTGTTGCAAATGGCAGAAACTCACATTATTTTGCATAAGTAAATAGTAACCAAAAAAAAAAAAAGATGGTTTACCATGCTCTACACTAGCAGCCAGCATGTCACCTGGAAACACCGAGACCTGAGCTGACACTCAGACGTCTCCATCTCCCGGGAGCCACGCTCCGTGTGGCCCTGGCAGAGTGCCCAGGATAAAGAGCACGGCCAGCACCTGCTCCAGTCCTGGTCCCCAGTGTCTGCACAAAGCTGCAGCATCCCAGAGGCTTCTGCTCTGCCTCTGGGGACCTTTGCTCCGTTTGCGGATGCGGTTTCCTTCTTCCTACAGAGAGGCAGGTGGTTTACTCCAGAGCTGCCTGCTCAGCACAGGGTGACCTCCTGCCAGGCTGTCCATGGTGCTCTTCCTAAGTGAGCACTCCCCCCCGGGGGAACCCCTGGCTCTGTTTGGGGCCTGGCTGACTCTCGCTGGGGCTGGCCCCTTCCTGCACCCCCCTCCCCCGCCGTCCGACCTCAGCATATGGCTCAGGGACACAGACACCCAAAGGCCTCTTGGGTCCTCAGCCTTGATATCGGCCACAGCCCTGCTTAAATGTCAAGAAAACGCATTGGCCACATGAATAATTCCTCACTAACGGCAGCGACAGAAACCGGAACCAGAAACCCTAGAGGGCTGGAGCGGGGAGGGCCGACTGGCCCGTGAACAGGCACGTTTCTGCTGCTTTGCCGGCCTTCGTGGTCCATTTAAGCAGCCCGTGGAAGGCCTAGCCTGAAAGTGGGTGCTGTCTGAGATGGGGAGGGGCCCTGGGCCCGGTAGGATCCACACAACTGTGGCAGCCACGGAACCACAGGGAGCCAAGTGTAGGAGGTGAAGGAAGCAATGCCCTGGGGGCGGACGCTGGGACTGGGCAGTCTCTGGTTTGACCTGTTCGCGGGGGATTCTTGACTTAACCTGTGGACAACTGGGCCATTCCCTGAGGGTGGAGGGGGCTGGGGGCTTTTCTCCTACCTGCCCTCTTCCCAGGCCAGGGCCGTGGCTTCCTGACCTAGTGCACACATGTCTGTCTGTCAAGCTCTCCAGATACAATGGGGCAAAATGACCAACGTGGCCCCCGGGTCCCTGAGAAGGATGCCGCTGCAGTGGTTAATCTGATTTTCTGGCACCTAAAGCCGCTAGGCTGAAGCCTAAACAAACCAAAACAAAATTTAAAAAGTACAAAACCACCTGAAGCAAAGCCAGGAAGACAGGGAAGGGCCTTAGGCGTCGAAGATGGGAGGGTAGGGTCGGGAAGAGGAACTCGTCTGACTCCTGGCTGCACTGGGAGATTCCTTCCTCACAGAGGGCGGCACTGGGGCCAGCTGGGCACCCATCCCTTTGCAAAAATGCTGCCCCACGCTCCATTCTCTGTGTTTATCAATTGATTTTGAGAGTTTTGTGACATGCCAGTGGCCAGCGTTACAACTATGAATAATAAATGGACCCATTTCCTGTTGGGGTTTCCAGTCTTAAGGCCTAAAAAACAAGATGAACTCCAGAAACACGGCAATCATAAGACAAGCTGAAGAAAGTCCATGTGGAAAGGAAAACTGACTTGCCGTTTTCCACAAATCTGTAATAATATGCAAACCATAATAATAAAGTACCGTTCCTGCAGACTTTGGGAGCATTCCTTCCATTATGTTCAGTGAGGAGCTTCTCCAATCATTTGCTTGTACCATCCTTACACTCACACCATGTGTTTTATTTTTCCTCGTGTTAAAGGCACGGAAGACCAGAAAACAGAAAAGAAATCAAAGCTTCTGAGAGGAAATACAGCCTCGGGGGGTCAAGGACACAAACAACAACAAAAGACATTGGGTAACAGAGACCAGGTTGAAGCACAGACTTAGTTATGAGGGTGCCAGGGGTTCCCCCAGTGGGGAGACGGGACAGCCGTTCCAAGCTTGGCCTTTTCCTCTGTGCTTCCTGCCTTTCTCTGCAGAGCGAGCTCCTTGCCCACGGGCCCAGGGAAGGGAAAACAGGATGGCCATGGTTGGCACAGGGCTGTTCTGGGTTTTGGAAGCTCAGGGCTGGGTCAGGGTGAAAGGTCAAGTGCACCTGAGTTTGGGGACCTGTTCTGCGGAGGCAGTTTTGGCTGCAGTTTTTATTTGGTGCTGATGCAATGTTTCCAAACAGCCAGCCAGGTGTTTGCAAATACCTAAGACCTTTTGGAAGACTCTGGCTAGGGTGGGAGGGGTGGGGAAGCCTGCTTCCTGGATGCGGGGGGCAGTATTTCAAGTCACAGGCTGAGGGACTGAATGGTGAGTGTGATCAGGGGCCTGGTTTCTCCCCCACCCCGCCTTTTATCTTTGTTCTTTTTTGAGACAGGGCCTTGTTCTCTTGCTCAGGCTGGAGTGCAGTGGTGCAATGACAGCTCACTGCAGCCTCAACCTCCCAGGCTCACGCCATCCTCCCACCTCAGGCTCCCAAGTAGCCGGCCCCACAGGCGTGTGCCACCACACCTGGCTATTTTAAAAGTATTTTATAGAGGTGAGGTCTTGCTATGTTAACCAAGCCGGTCTCAAACTCCTGAGCTCAACTGATCCTCCTGCCTCAGCCTCCCAAAGCACTGGGATTACAGGCGGGAGACACGACGTCCAGCCTTGTTTTTGTTTAGTTCTCCTAGGAGCGGATTAACAGGGTGTTGGGACCTCCAAAAGGAAAAAAGGCAGTTGTACACTGTTCAGCTGAAAGGAACTAAAAATATTCCCCCGTATTCTTGGTATATAAACCTGGGACAAAGAAAAACACTCTGAACGATTAAGGAAAACTTTGGGACTCTTCATTTCCTTGAAAGCCTTTGAAAACCAACTGACTCCCAAACAACCCGTGTGTGTGTATGTGTGTGTGTGTGTGTGTGTGTGTGTGTGTGTCGATTGGGAAATCTGTGGTCAGACCCTCGGGCGAATGAGGAGAAGCTCATCCTCGTTTCTCCGGGCCCTCCTCCCAGGCGTCCGTCCAGGCAGGAAAGCCTCCCGAGAAGGGTTCCAAGTTTTGTGCCAACTTCCCTGAATTCTCGTTCCCCCTTCTGTGAAGTAGTGTTATTTAACACAAGGAAAACTGACCCTAGGCTCGATCCAGAATCTAACTCCCAAATGGGTCCTCAGGCTTAAAAAATACCTTCGCCCACAGCCTCTGTCTCCCCTGAAGAAAACGTTTTCCGTTCGGATGAGGCATCGGCCACGGGCAAGCAAGTGGTCCCGCGCCCCCGTCCCCTACCCAGGCGGCCGGCCTGGCTCCGTCACCGCCCGCAGCGTCCGCCCGGGGCCCGCGCGGGAAGAGGGTCCCAGCCCCACATGCTGCGGGGGCAGCCCCGGGACGCGCAGACGCCAGCGCCGCTGAGGGCCGGGGCCGGGACCGGCCGCGCGGCGGGGGCTTCCAGAGCGGCCGGTCACGCTTCCTTAGGTTTCAAGTTTCTAACTTGCTGAACATTTCAGATTTTAACAGCAAAAGCGGCTGACGTCCCCGCGGGCAAGCGGCCTCTCGGGGTCTGCAGCGCCCCAGGGCATCCGCGCCGCCAGCCCCACGCGCGAGCCCGCGAGGCCCCCGGGCCCCCGCACGTCCCGAGGCTCTGAGTCTGGACGAACGCAGGCCGCGTGGAGGGGCCGGCGACCCCTGCCCGAGAGCCGTCCCCTCCTGGAGGGAGCGAGCACAAGGCGCCCGCGGGACCCGGCCCGAGTGCCCGAGCGTGGAGGGGCGGGCGCGCCCTCGGCGGTGGGGCCGCCCGCAGTGCCCCCAGCGCCCGGGAGGGGGCGCCCGGCGGAGCGCAGGCGGGCGGGCCTCGGGCGGCGGGCGCCCCTGACGTCACCGGCCCGCGGTCGCCAGGGCAACGGCCTCATCCCGCGCGCGTCAGAGCCGCCAGTCTCTTGGCAACCGCCCGATCTCCCGCTCTCCCTCCGCCCGGCGCTCGGCCGCGCGTCGCTCTGGCGTCAAAGCGACGTCAATGGGCGGCCCCCGCCCGGGCGGCGGGGGCGGGGCAGGGGGCGGGGACTACGGGGGGCGGGCCGGGGCGGGCCGGGGCGGGGCCGGGCGCCGCGTGCGGCGGAGCGCGGCGGCTCCGGGCTGACATGCGGCGCGGCCCCGGAGGCAGCAGCAGCGGCGGCGGCAGCCGGAGCAGTAGGCACCCGAGCAGCGCCAGCGGCCGAGCGGGCGGCTTCCTGGCCTGGGCGCTCCGGTGGCGGCGGAGGTGAGGCGGCGGCAGCGGCGGCAGCGGCGGCAGCGGCGGGCTCCGGGCGGGCGGAGGTGGCCGCCGTGGGGGCTCCGCGCGGGCGCCGGGCCGGGGCTCGGGGTTGCAGCCACCGCGCAGGGTCCCTGGCCTTGCGCGCGCGGGGTTCGCGGGCGGGGTTGGCGGCCTGGCCGCCCTCGGGCTCCCCTTTGTTGGGGGGCCGGGGTAGGAGTGAGTCCGCGGGGCTCAGGGGCTGGGGAGCCGGGGGTCAGGTTGGAGCCGACCGCGGGCGGAGAGACCGGGTGTGGGGGGCGGGTCCGCGATCCCCGAGGTGCCTGGGATGTCGGGGGTGGGGACCGGACGGATCGCGGGCGGCGGGGGCAGGGTGTGGGAGCGGGGCAGGGGACGGTCCTGGGATCCGGATCGAGCCGACCTCGGGTGGCAGGGCCAGGTGTGGGAGCGGGTCCGCGCCCAGAGGTGCTAAAGGGGTCGAGGGTGGGGACGGAACCGACAGCGGGCGGCGGGAGGCGAGTGTGGAATCCCGGCTCAGGGGGTCCCGGGATCGGGACGGAACCGGACTCGGGCGGCAGGGGCCTCTATGAGAGCGGGTCCGTGCGCCCCGCGGGGCTCAAGAGGGTCGGGGGTCCGGGTGGAGCGGGCGGCGGGGGCGGGTCCACACCTCCCACGGGGCTGGAGGGGCCCGTGGATAGAGTGGGGGCGACAGGCGTGGGAGCAGGTCCCTGCGTCCCGTGGGGACTGGGGGCTCCGCGGGCACGGATGGAGCCGACCGCGGGCGGCGGGGGCGCTGGTGGGCTCTGAGCTCTGTGCGGCCCCGCAGGTGCGCGCGGAGCCATGGTTATCATGTCGGAGTTCAGCGCGGACCCCGCGGGCCAGGGTCAGGGCCAGCAGAAGCCCCTCCGGGTGGGTTTTTACGACATCGAGCGGACCCTGGGCAAAGGCAACTTCGCGGTGGTGAAGCTGGCGCGGCATCGAGTCACCAAAACGCAGGTGCGTGGGGGCGGTGGGACCCAGCCGGCGGGGCCTCCCCACTGGACCCGGGGCGACCCGACCTTTGGCGGGTGGACCCCATGCAGATTCACTGCTCCAGGCTTGATTGTCGTGGTGGGTAAATAGTAACCGTTTTTAGTTCGGTAAAGAAAAATAATGCTTTATATTATGTTGCTGCATAATTTGGACATATATTGGGAGAAAGCAGAGAGGATAATAGCAAAAAAAAGGACCAACCTAAGATTGCAGTGGTTCATGGACTCAGAGCTAAACCCTGTAAAGTGAGCCTGCAAATACTTAAGTCACTTACTTAACTCTGATTATTTTAAATAACATTAGTGGTTACTTTGGTTATGTTTTCCCAACTTCTTGTGACCTTCTGGAGACAGAGTGTTGAGAAATTAACTTGCAAAAAATGAAATGTGTAAATTAGGTTGAGGGTTTCTTTTCTTTTTTTAAAAAAACCCACAGAATATCCTTTTTCTTTTTAAATTTGTAGGTTGCAATAAAAATAATTGATAAAACACGATTAGATTCAAGCAATTTGGAGAAAATCTATCGTGAGGTTCAGCTGATGAAGCTTCTGAACCATCCACACATCATAAAGCTTTACCAGGTAAGGGGTCAGCTTGCCTTTCTCTGCTAATCCTGGCAAATGTGTTATATTTTATTTCCAACAGCATAAGTCTGCAATTTCTGAAGGTGGCTTCCCTTTTGGGGAGTGTGTGGAAGTTGGGCATTTGGTTGTATAAGGTAAATAGATTGATTTTTATAGGCTGTGCAGATATATTTACAATTATTTTATTGCTTTTGGATCATAATTGAGATTTGCTTCATTAGAATTTTATTTAGTATCCTAACCTGATCCAGTTTTAAATGTGTAGAAGTCTGTTGTAAATTTGCTTTACTATGAAAACAGACAAACTTATCTGTAGGTATTGCCACAGGTCACGCATTTAGTATAAAAGGACAAATTTGAGTGAAACTGGAAACTTCTGCCTTTGCAGATAATTATTAAACTTTAAAGCCAGCTGCTCTTACTGGTTTTCATTAGTTTATTTTTGCAAGGACAGTAGTGAGCATTTGTTTTCCCTATTTAAACTCTTCCATGAAAAACGGAGAGATGAAAATACTTTTCCATAGTAAGAGCAAGGAGCTTGTCATTTAATCCATGCTAGGAACATGGCTTGCCCTGTCTCTCTGTTGGTTTATTTTGTGACTTAATTTTTGTTCTCATGTTGAAATTAATAAATTATATCATCAGGAAATAAGTACTAATTTAATTAGAACAGCAAAGCAATCATTTACACCTCCCTAATGACAAATGACCACTTTTGCAAGGTGAAATCAAGTCTTCTTGCAGAAGAAGTTCTTTGCAGGTGCTATTTCATCCATTTGTGTTGGGTTGAAGTTCCTCGTAATGATTCTTATGAAATGGAATGTGAGATGACTCTGGGATGTTGTTGTGTGTGTTTGTGCAATTAGGACAGCTCGGTGTACAGTGTGGTAGGAGAGAGAATTATGATTCGAAATTATCCCCCAAAAGCCTCTGCACTAGATTGAAAATAAAAGTAGCAGTATTGGTGGAGCTTACGACAGTTTGCTCAGTGTCTTTAAGCACAGAATTCATGCCGTGTGCGCCTGGTTTGTGTTTTGTTTCTGTTGTCATTTTTAAGTTGTGTGCTCCATGGCCACTGGTGTACTGCCTGTGCAGCGTGCCCAGCCCATTTCCTCAGGAGTGGGCTGAGCTGGTTTTGTTTTTGACTTTGCTCAAGGGCTGAACCCTAATGGTAGTACCTTCCTTTTCTTCCTGTTCTTCTCCTTTGCCCATTGTGTGGAATTAGCTCCGTTAAAGAAACAAATTGCCCATGTGTTTGCTGCTGAGGTCTTTTCTGGAGGTGCATTTTCTTACTGCTGCTGTATGTGATTCTTAACTGTTGGGAGATGATAGAATTCAGTGGTGTAGCAATGACTTTTACTCCTCTGGTTTTGATGCTAATGTCTAATTTTCTTTCTTTTCTTTCTTTCTTCCTGTCTTTTTTTTTTTTTTCTTTTTTGAGACGGAGTCTCTGTCCGTCACCCAGGCTGGAGTGCAGTGGCGCGATTTCGGCTCACTGCAACTGCCGCCTCCTGGGTTCAAGCAATTCTTCTGCCTCAGCCTCCCAAGTAGCTGGGACTACAGGCGCCCGCCACAACACCCAGCTAATTTTTTGTATTTTTAGTAGAGACAGGGTTTCACCGTGTTAGCCAGGATAGTCTGGATCTCCTGACCTTGTGATCCGCCCGCCTCGGCCTCCCAAAGTGCTGGGATTACAGGCATGAACCACCGCGCCCGGCCACTAGTGTCTAATTTTCATTCCGCTGGCCGGGGCCCCAGAACCCTGCTGAGACACTTCCCTCTTTTTTTCAAGTTTTCAAAAAGTTCAAACACTTTGACTTTTAATTCTTTTCCTCCTCCTCCCTTTCTTCAGTTGGGGACGGGTCAGCAGTGGTCTTAGAGTTATTGTACCACCCACAGGGGCGGGGCAGTTAAAATTCTTGCCAAACTGCTAGAATTTATAGAACACTTTTCTTTTTAGATTTATAACTCAAAGCAGCAATCTTTGAAGCATCTTTTTTTTTTTTTTTTTTTTTGAGATGGAGTCTCACTGTCGCCCAGGCTGGAGTGCAGTGGCGCTATGGATCGTGACTCACTGCAACCTCCACCTCCTGGGTTCAAGCGATTCTCCTACCTCAGCCTCCCAAGTAGCTGGGACTACAGGCACGCGCCACCACACCTGGCTAATTTTTGTATTTTTAGTAGAGATGGGGTTTCACCATGTTGACCAGGCTGGTCTCGAACTCCTAACCTCAAGTGATCAGCCTGGGTGATCCCAAAGTACTGGGATTACAAGCATGAGCCACCACCTCCAGCACAAAGCATCTTTTTAAAGGAATAACTATATTTTGAACCCAAAAAAATCTTTTTTCATAAGAATATATTGCCTCATCCTCTCCAAAATTTTTCAATACTCACAGACATAAGTTATATTTTTAAATCTCTTTTTAAGTAAAATAAAGTTATTGATTAGTGAATGAACTTCAAAGGGCTATGTTGGCATGGCTGTTGTGTGGCTACATGCTGAGTGAATGGCTACATGCTGAGTGAATGAGGCTGGATTCTCACAGCCTCATTCATCCTGTCAATAAAGCTGGGTTCCCACAGCGTCATTCATCCTGTCAATCAAGCGAGTGGGAATGGGGTGTGCATTCTCTATTACCCAGGTGGCTCTGACCGTTGGCTGGAATCATCTGTTGCCTACTAGGCTTCTATAAAGCCCAGCAGACTTCCAGCAATCTCCTCCTCTGTAGCCTTCAGAATACTGTCTCTCCTTTTTTGAGATGGAGTCTCGCTCTGTCGCCCAAGTTGGAGTGCAGTGGTACGATCTCGGCTCACTGCAACCTCCGCCTTGCGGGTTCGAATGATCCTCTTGCCTCAGCCTCCTGAGTAGCTGGGATTACAGGTGCCCACCACCTCACCTAGCTAGTTTTTGTATTTTTTGTAGAGATGGGGTCTTGCCGTGTTGACCAGGCTGGTCTCGAACTCAAGCGATTCTCCTGCCTTGGCCTCCCGAAGTGCTGGGATTACAGGGCGTGAGCCACCATGCCCCGGCCTAAGCATTCTCAAATTGTATGTGAGGTGTCTTGAATTAAATATGACCACAGAGGGGAATTCTAATATATTTAGACCTTTTGTGAGAGCAAAGGTGTATCAGGATAGGCAAGTCAGTGAGGAATTCACCTCTGATTTTTCAAAGCTGTCTTTGTGAGTAGGAATCTCCTATTTTTTTTTTATTTGAGAAATTTTTCTTTTTCTTTGCATTTTTAAATGATGAATGCCTTTGTCCTAGAGAAGTTAGAAATTTCCTGGGGTTCTGGTGGATGGTTTGTAGCGCTGCCTTGTGCCTTTTTTGTGCGGTTAAATGTCAGGTCTTTCTTCTTTAGGTTATGGAAACAAAGGACATGCTTTACATCGTCACTGAATTTGCTAAAAATGGAGAAATGTTTGGTAAGCCACACTCGTTTTCAGTATCTGTTGAAAACCAATGGCACGAACGCGTCTGGATTTGCGCGGCCAGTGTCTGGGCCACACATCCCAGGACCCCGCGGTGTTCCCCAGGGCTCCATGGGTGGTGGGCAGGCTTTGCCCTGGGGGCTGTAGCTTTGTTTTGTGGCTCCTCAGATTATTTGACTTCCAACGGGCACCTGAGTGAGAACGAGGCGCGGAAGAAGTTCTGGCAAATCCTGTCGGCCGTGGAGTACTGTCACGACCATCACATCGTCCACCGGGACCTCAAGACCGAGAACCTCCTGCTGGATGGCAACATGGACATCAAGCTGGCAGGCACGGAGGGTCCGGGGTGGGAGCAGGGACATCAAGCTGGCAGGCACGGAGGGTCTGGGGTGGGAGCAGGGACATCAAGCTGGCAGGCACGGAGGGTCCGGGGTGGGAGCAGGGACATCAAGCTGGCAGGCACGGAGGCCCCGGGGTGGGAGTGTGCCCGCAAGCAGCCCCAGCTTCCCGGCATGTGCCGAAACCACAGCCCCTGTGCCGAAACCGCAGCCCCTTGCCATTTGCCGTTTAACCTCATCCATCTGTTTCTTTGCCGCTCAGATTTTGGATTTGGGAATTTCTACAAGTCAGGAGAGCCTCTGTCCACGTGGTGTGGGAGCCCCCCGTATGCCGCCCCGGAAGTCTTTGAGGGGAAGGAGTATGAAGGCCCCCAGCTGGACATCTGGGTAGGAGCCCTGTGCGCGCAGACCCCCTTCCCGAGGCCGCGTTCCCCGAGGGCGCCGTGTTCCCGGGGGCACCGCCCTGGCGCTGATGTGGCTCTGTGGTCCTCAACAGAGCCTGGGCGTGGTGCTGTACGTCCTGGTCTGCGGTTCTCTCCCCTTCGATGGGCCTAACCTGCCGACGCTGAGACAGCGGGTGCTGGAGGGCCGCTTCCGCATCCCCTTCTTCATGTCTCAAGGTGAGTCGTGTGGTCTCGCCTGGGCAGGGGCCTGTGTCTCCTGCAGCCCCTTCGTGGCTGGCTTCTGAGTCCTTGTTGAGTCTGGGAATCAGGCCCAGGTTACTGTGGGCTGCGGGAGAAACCCAGCCCATGGATGCCTTCTCAGTGCCCTATTTCGAGGGTGGACGGGTGCCCTTGCTGCACAGGCTTGTGCCTTGCGCCTGCCGTCCCCGCCCAGTACCCGCACCCAGGGTGCTGGCATCATCCCTGAGTCCAACCCACTGGCTGTGGCTCACCCGGCTTTTCTGTGTCATAAAGATGCCTGTCCACCTGGTGCTCAGGTGTGGGGCACGGCAGAAGGGTGAACCTAAGTGGTTCTCTGTGTGGTGGACACAAAGTGTGGCAGCCCCCAGGGTCTGGATCCCTGGCTGATGGCTCCCCTTGGGTGGCAGGACTGAGCCGATGGCCCGGCCCCTGCTCCTGGGCCCTGGCGTGTCAAACCACGTGGGGCGGTGGGTGGGAGCGCAGCCGAGGTCCCGGCCGCCCTGGCTCAGCCTCCTGGCCCCTCCACAGACTGTGAGAGCCTGATCCGCCGCATGCTGGTGGTGGACCCCGCCAGGCGCATCACCATCGCCCAGATCCGGCAGCACCGGTGGATGCGGGCTGAGCCCTGCTTGCCGGGACCCGCCTGCCCCGCCTTCTCCGCACACAGCTACACCTCCAACCTGGGCGACTACGATGAGCAGGCGCTGGGTATCATGCAGACCCTGGGCGTGGACCGGCAGAGGACGGTGGAGGTGAGCCTGGCCACACTTGCCCTGGCCTCACCCGCAGGGGCTAGGCAGCTGTCTCAGGGGAAGCAGGCACTCACCAGCTGAGTTAAAACGGGAGCACAGGCTAATTTAGGGGCCGGCTTGTCCACCCCACTAAAGGATATTCTCAGTCACCCAAGAATAACCTGGGATCGGGTGGGCCCTGGGGCTCCCCGCCATCCCCATGCTGATCTCTGCTCCTCTTGTTCCCAGTCACTGCAAAACAGCAGCTATAACCACTTTGCTGCCATTTATTACCTCCTCCTTGAGCGGCTCAAGGAGTATCGGAATGCCCAGTGCGCCCGCCCCGGGCCTGCCAGGCAGCCGCGGCCTCGGAGCTCGGACCTCAGTGGTTTGGAGGTGAGGGGGAGGAGTCTCCTCCCAGGCCCCAGGCTCCCTCCCCTGTCAGGCACCGGCTTGGAGGGCGGTTCCTTGCGTGGGCAGCGGGTCCCAGGCCTCGTGGGGAAGGGGGTGCCAGCTGCTGGGGGCTGGACTCTGCCCAGAGGCCACTTGTCCCTGACTCATCCCTGGGGCCGGCCTGTCACGCCACCTTCTGGCAGCGCAGCACCAGCACCTGGTCCTGAGCCCAGCCTGGCCAGCCAGTGTCCCTCCGTCAGCTGTCATGCCCACCAGCGAGGCAGCTTGCACTCCAGACAGAAGCCAGCTTGTTTCTTCTCTTGATGGCGCTGGTGGTCCGGAGTCGCTCCCCTGACAGCGTCTTTCCCGTCTGCCGGCCCCAGGTGCCTCAGGAAGGTCTTTCCACCGACCCTTTCCGACCTGCCTTGCTGTGCCCGCAGCCGCAGACCTTGGTGCAGTCCGTCCTCCAGGCCGAGATGGACTGTGAGCTCCAGAGCTCGCTGCAGTGGGTGAGTGCCCACAGCGGGTGTGCAGAGGGCTCGCCTCAGCCCAGCCCTGGTGCCCCCGGTGTGCCCGGGTCACCTGGAGTCCGAGAAGTCACTGGCTTGTGTCTCTCCAACGCAGCCCTTGTTCTTCCCGGTGGATGCCAGCTGCAGCGGAGTGTTCCGGCCCCGGCCCGTGTCCCCAAGCAGCCTGCTGGACACAGCCATCAGTGAGGAGGCCAGGCAGGGGCCGGGCCTAGAGGAGGAGCAGGACACGCAGGAGTCCCTGCCCAGCAGCACGGGCCGGAGGCACACCCTGGCCGAGGTCTCCACCCGCCTCTCCCCACTCACCGCGCCATGTAAGTGTCCCCGGGGGCCCAGGAGGACACCGGTGGATAGGCTTACGGTCGACGTGAGGGTGGGCTAATTTAGAATGGACGTTTTGCCCGGCAGCCTCTCAGGTTGGACTTCTCAGGATTTGCCATTTGTTTTAATCCCTGAGACCACACAGTTGATGTTTAGAGCCTGCCCTGCATGTGGTCGTTCCAGTGGAGGATACAGCATGGGGTCTGGCCTCCAGCAGGGTCCTCCCCAGGCCGCCCCTGGGTGCCGGGAGGGCAGCCCCTTGGCCTGAGGCCCACTATGACCTGCCCCCTGCAGCTGCACCGTGATGGTGGCTTGCCTTTGTGGCTCCCTGGGCTCTGGTGGCCTCGAGCCCTCTTCCCACCAGGTTGATGGTGGGGATGGGGAGGCCAGCGCAGCCATGTGTGCCCAGCAGTGGCCGGGGGAGCCTATTCCTTTGCACTGCAGCATCAAAAGCGCTGTCCTCCCCCCACAGGTATAGTCGTCTCCCCCTCCACCACGGCAAGTCCTGCAGAGGGAACCAGCTCTGACAGTTGTCTGACCTTCTCTGCGAGCAAAAGCCCCGCGGGGCTCAGTGGCACCCCGGCCACTCAGGGGCTGCTGGGCGCCTGCTCCCCGGTCAGGCTGGCCTCGCCCTTCCTGGGGTCGCAGTCCGCCACCCCAGTGCTGCAGGCTCAGGGGGGCTTGGGAGGAGCTGTTCTGCTCCCTGTCAGCTTCCAGGAGGGACGGCGGGCGTCGGACACCTCACTGACTCAAGGTGAGCCACGCTCCTCCCACACTTACCTCCACCTTCCCCAGGGGACCATGTGTGTCTCTGGCAGTACGTGACTTTGTCCGTGATGGCAGATGGCACCCCCTGTTCTCCACCGGGCCTGGGTGGGACCCTCAGTGCTCTGGGCAGGCTGGGGTGCTCAGTGCTCTGGTGGCTCGGGGCGTCACGGCCTGCTGGGATAGACACACATGGGTCCCTGAGCACGCGGCCTCCATGGCTGGTTCTGAAAGCACAGGAGACGACTCTGTGCTGGGCAGCACCTCCCGACTTGGAGGAGGGAGGGCCCCTGGCTGCCAGCTGCCTCCACGCCATCCTGGGGCTTAGGTGCCAGACTCCTGTCCAGACGTGCTTGTGTCACCCGTCCTTTCCTTACCCCCAACCTGAGGCTTGGAAACCCCTTAAGCCAAGGGCCGTGGATGCTGGGCTGAGAGCCGGGTGGCCGTTGACCTCCTGATTCATTCTCCCTGCAGGGCTGAAGGCCTTTCGGCAGCAGCTGAGGAAGACCACGCGGACCAAAGGGTTTCTGGGACTGAACAAAATCAAGGGGCTGGCTCGCCAGGTGTGCCAGGTCCCTGCCAGCCGGGCCAGCAGGGGCGGCCTGAGCCCCTTCCACGCCCCTGCACAGAGCCCAGGCCTGCACGGCGGCGCAGCCGGCAGCCGGGAGGGCTGGAGCCTGCTGGAGGAGGTGCTAGAGCAGCAGAGGTAGGGCCTGCCCCCGCCCTGGGACCCCGGGTGGGCACACGGCAGGTTATCTCCTCGAGGAACCTCATCTGCTAAGTGGTTCCCTCCTCTCTGTAGCCCAGTGCACACCCCCGCTCCCAGCCAGGGAGATGTGTGGGGCGTAGGTCCTAGGTGCTGAGCCATGGGGGTGCAGCAGGCGGGCGTGTCCTTTAAAGTCCCTGGGTGGGTGAGGGTGGCGGGGAGCGAGGGCGCCTTGTGGCCGCATCTCTGAGCTGCTGAGAAACCGGGTGGAGAATGAAAGGTGGGGCGCGGTCAGGGATCAGCCACGCACCTGCCCTCGGCAGCCGCGGCTGGCAGCTCCACGGGCGGGCCCTGCCACACGGGCACTCGGAAACCCGAGAACCCTGCGAGCCGGCGCAGTGACCACCTGTCCTCTGTTCCCACAGGCTGCTCCAGTTACAGCACCACCCGGCCGCTGCACCCGGCTGCTCCCAGGCCCCCCAGCCGGCCCCTGCCCCGTTTGTGATCGCCCCCTGTGATGGCCCTGGGGCTGCCCCGCTCCCCAGCACCCTCCTCACGTCGGGGCTCCCGCTGCTGCCGCCCCCACTCCTGCAGACCGGCGCGTCCCCGGTGGCCTCAGCGGCGCAGCTCCTGGACACACACCTGCACATTGGCACCGGCCCCACCGCCCTCCCCGCTGTGCCCCCACCACGCCTGGCCAGGCTGGCCCCAGGTTGTGAGCCCCTGGGGCTGCTGCAGGGGGACTGTGAGATGGAGGACCTGATGCCCTGCTCCCTAGGCACGTTTGTCCTGGTGCAGTGAGGGCAGCCCTGCATCCTGGCACGGACACTGACTCTTACAGCAATAACTTCAGAGGAGGTGAAGACATCTGGCCTCAAAGCCAAGAACTTTCTAGAAGCGAAATAAGCAATACGTTAGGTGTTTTGGCTTTTTAGTTTATTTTTGTTTTATTTTTTTCTTGCACTGAGTGACCTCAACTTTGAGTAGGGACTGGAAACTTTAGGAAGAAAGATAATTGAGGGGCGTGTCTGGGGGCGGGGGCAGGAGGGGAGCGGGGTGGAGGGAACACGTGCAGTGCCGTGGTGTGGGGATCTCGGCCCCTCTCTCTGGGTTCGTCGTGGTTGAGATGATTACCTCGGACGTCTACGGAAACGAGCGGGCGCATTGTTGTCCGCTTGTGTGTGTGTGTGTGTGTGTGTGTGTGCGCGTACATTGATTACTATCCATTTCTTTAGTCAACGCTCTCCACTTCCTGATTTCTGCTTTAAGGAAAACTGTGAACTTTCTGCTTCATGTATCAGTTTTAAAGCAGCCCAGGCAAAGATCATCTACAGATTCTAGGAATTCTCTCCCCTGAAATCAAAACCTGGAAGACTTTTTTTTCTTATTTTAGTTGAGAAGTTTCATAAACTGCTCAAGGATTAGTTTTCCAGGACTCTGCGGAGGAACGGCAGGAAGAACCTCAGAGAGGGCAGAGGTGACTTCAAAGTGCTGGGGACTCCGTCCTGAGGGTCACTTGGCCCTGAGCCCCTGCGTGCCCTTGCGGAAGCCCAGAAGCTTCTTCCTGCTGCACCTCCCGTTTCCGCTGCTGCTGACGTTTATGCATTTCATGATGGGGTCCAACAAGAACACCTGACTTGGGTGAAGTTGTGCAATATTGGAGGCTGACTGTAGGGCTGGGCAGCTGGGAGACAGGCTCATGGCTCATGGCTCATGGCTCAGGGCGGTGCCTGCCCTGGGCCGGGACCCCCCTCCCCACCCCCCACCTAGGCTTTTTGGGTTTTGTTCAAGGAAGGTAAAGTGAGAGGTTTAGGTCAGTGTTTTTAAGTTTTTGTTTTTTTTTTAAAGCAAATCCTGTATATGTATCTACATGGGAGACAGGTAGACACTACTTATTTGTTACATTTTGTACTACACGTTTGTGTTCCAGGTTTCAGCTTCCCTCGCTCCTGTTGTTAAGAAGCGTCCCTGTCAGCACAGGTGTGCATTGAGGAAGGGGCCCCAGGGCCTTCGCTCCCTCAGCACTGGGGTGGAGGCGGCAGGAAGGGGCGGCCCTTACCTGGCAGGTCTGGGCGCACCTTTAGCAGGTGGACTCCGTGGGGCTCCACCAGCCAGAAGCCTTTGGAAGGCAACGAAGGCAATGCTGCTCCCTGAGTCCAGTCCCCGCCCCCAAACCCAGCCCAGGTGCCTTCAGCTACTTCGGCTTCTTAAACCCTGCAGTGTTAAACAGAGGCATTGAGAAAGGGGAAAGGCGGGTATTTTTAAAAGCCAAAGATTGACCCAGTTACTTGAGGGTAGGGAGGCGGGCCCAGTGCAGGAGGCTGCATCCCTGGCCTGCTGGTGCCCACCGGGGGCTGTGCCTGTGCCGGGCCGCAGGGAAGCTGGCTGCCCCCATTCCTGCTGCTGCTGCTGCTGCTGCTCTGTGGCTGTTTCAAAGACTGGGCGAAAGGCTGTCCGGAGGGCAGACCAGGTGCCTTGCCGCAGAGAAAACACCAAAGTCTCCTGTTCGCTCATAAAGAAGTTTTTGGGATGGGAGAGAATCCAGACCATCTTGGGGCAGCCAGGCCCTTGCCTTCATTTTTACAGAGGTAGCACAATTGATTCCAACACAAAACTCCTTCCCCTTTTTAAAATGATTTCTGTTCTAATGCCATAGATCAAAGGCCTCAGAAACCATTGTGTGTTTCCTCTTTGAAGCAATGACAAGCACTTTACTTTCACGGTGGTTTTTGTTTTTTCTTATTGCTGTGGAACCTCTTTTGGAGGACGTTAAAGGCGTGTTTTACTTGTTTTTTTAAGAGTGTGTGATGTGTGTTTTGTAGATTTCTTGACAGTGCTGTAATACAGACGGCAATGCAATAGCCTATTTAAAGACACTACGTGATCTGATTGAGATGTACATAGTTTTTTTTTTTACCATAACTGAATTATTTTATCTCTTATGTTAACATGAGAAATGTATGCCAAATGATTAGTTGATGTATGTTTTTTAATTTAATATTTAAATAAAATATTTGGAAGGAAAAAACCTTGACTTTTTCCCTTCCTCTCTCTCTCATCTCTCTGGGAGCTCTTTCCTTCCAAGCGGCTTCCCTGAGAGGCCACATCCTCCAGGCTTGTAGAAGTTTCAAATCTTAAAGAGGAGGGCAGGGAGCCAACTCCTGCATTCCACCTCACTGCAGGGAACTAATGGCCTTCCGTCTGCAGAGGACCCCTCCCCCTGCGGCAGCCACAGGTGGCCCCGTGGTCTGCCCCCTCCTCAGGACCCTTCCCCAGTGGCCGGGCTCAGTCACTGAAAGTCTCAGCACCGCCCGGGGCTGCCGGCACCATCCATCCTTACCCCATCCTCCGCCAGGTTCTCTGAGTCTGGTTATAAATTAAGCAGTTGGAAGAATCTCACAGCCAAACCATTTCCTGGTCTCTGAAAGACTTCACCACCTTCTAGCAAGAGGGCACACACTGCTGCTTTATGAGAACAAAGGACTTGTTCATGTTGTCACCTGGTGGATATTTTGGTTAAAAAAAGCTCTTCAACCTCTTCGCTCCCATTAAGGTGGTCCTTACCAAAGTGGACCCCTTGTGCGCTGTTGGTGGGAGGGTCAAATGGCGCAGCCTTTATGGGAGAGCAGTGTACCAGCTCCTCAAAGATTAGAACCACCACCTGATCCGGCCGCTCCTCCTAATGGTATGGACCCTGAAGAACTGAAGGCAGGGCCCAGAGAGGTTTGTACACCCATGTTCACAGCAGCATGACGACAGCCATACTAGGAAGCAGCCCGAGGGGCCGTCAGCCGATGAAGGGATCAAGAAGATGTGGTCCCGCCTATAATCCCAGCACTTTGGGAGGCTGAGGTGGGCGGATCACCTGAGGTTGGGAGTTCGAGACCAGCCTGACTAACATGGAGAAACCTCATCTCTACTAAAAATACAAAATTAGCGGGGCATGGTGGTGCATGCCTGTAATCCCAGCTACTCGGGGGGGCTGAGGCAGGAGAATCGTTTGAACCCAGGAGGCGGAGTTTGTGGTGAGCCGAGATTGTGCCATTGCACTCCAGCCTGGGCAACAAGAGCGAAACTCTGTCTCAAAAAAACAAACAAAGAAGATGTAGTCCATGCCGACAGTGGAATAGGCCTCAGCCGTACAAAAGGAAAGCCCAGCATGGCTGCCAGCGAGGATGGACCCTGAGGATGCCGTGCTCAGTGGAACAAGCCCGTCATAAAAGAACACACACGCGAGGGCCCTAGAGGGGACAGATTCACAGAGACAGAAGGGGGAGTGGGGGGTGCCGGGGGCTGGGGAGGGGCTGCTGAGCCAGAGATGAATGGGTGGGAATTGCAGTTTAAGAGGATGAAAAGTGCTGGAGTTGGGCGGTGGCGATGGCTGCAAAACAGTATGAACGTTCTTAACGCACTCAACTGTGTACCGAAAAATGGTTAAAACGATACATTGTATGTTACGTTTATTTTACTACTTTTTTTTTTTTTTCTAGCCTTGCTTTGTCACCCAGGCTGGAGTGCAGTGGCGTGATCTTGGCTCACGGCAACCTCCGTCTCCTGGGTTCAAGCGATTCTCCTGCCTCAGCCTCCTGAGTAGCTGGGATTAGAGGCCCCCACCACCATGCCGGGCTAATTTCTGTATTTTTAGTGGAGATGGGGTTTCACCATGTTGGCCAAACTGGTCTCGAACTTCTGACCTCACACTTGAGGTCCGCCCACCTCAGCCCCCCAAAGTGTGGAGATTACAAGCGTGAGCCACTGCGCCGGGACCACAATGTTTTTAAGAAGAAAACAAAGTTTTTTCTCAAGGAGGCAGATGCTCAGTGAGTGCGCAGCAGTTCCCATGAGGAGAGCAGGCAGGAGCCATGGGCAGGGGCAGGCACAGGGCAGGCCACTGTCAGTGCTGAGGTTGGCTGGGCATAAGTGTGGCCGGGGCCAGCCTCATTGTTCCTGGAGCCCTGCTCAGACAGGGCGTCCTGGCCCTCGGGAGAGCCTGCCCTGCGACGGCCCCTCAGGCAGCTGGATGGTGGGAGAGGCCGGGGAGGGGGCTCTTTGTCTTCTGAGTCATCTCTGCGGTTTTGCTGTCTCTAAGAACAAAGCAGTAGCCTCCGAGGTCCTGGCTGTGGCTGCCGCTGGCTTAGTGGCTTGAGGCTGTCTGACAGGGAGGCCAAACCAGGGCTGAGCACTCCTGAGTGAGCGGAGGTGCCTGCTTGGGCCATGCCTGTGTGGGGGAATCTGGCAGGGGAGCTGGGGGCCCACGGAGCTGCTCTGTCTCCAGGCAGCCTCGTCGCTCCACCCCGCTTAGAGTGGGGCCGCCTCAGGACACCAAGGTTGGGCTGTGTGGCATCTGCTGAACAAGGAGCCGGGCGGCTGTGCTGAGGGCACCTGTGTTTATTGTTTGGGAGCCTTAGAAACCAGGAACCTCGAGTCGGAACCTCTTGTCGTGTCGTGCATGCGAATTCAGGGTGTGACCTGCCCATGTCTCAGCTCCCCGACCTAGTGGTCAGCTCCTCGTGGGGACAGATGTGTCTCATGGTGCTCCAGGGTACTGAAGCAGCCCCAGCAGGTAGCAGCTCCTTAACACACAGCACTGGCAAAACCATCCCTGCGTCTCCCATGCTTGGGCGCTTCTTCCAGAACTCCTGATGGTGGCGAAGACGATGGCGATGATGATGGTGATAGAGGCTTAGACTTCTCAGGTTGAAAGTTGGAGCCCCCCTTGGGGAGCCTCCCACAGGCCTTGTAGGACTCCAGAATTCTGCCCTGGGCCCCTTGATCTGCTCCTGAGTCATTTCAGTCCCTCCACTGGGGAGGTCCTGATGGGTAGAGGGAGCTGGCCACACCCATGGGTGTGTTTGCCCCTTGCCTGAGGGTCCTTTATGGCCCCTAGCCCACGTCTGGCACCGTGAGCATCCCCCACCCACCCCGGGCATTTTGCAGGATGTTCTCGTTGAGGACATGTTCCTTCCTGCTGGGGCTTGGCCGGGCTGAGCCGGGCCCTGGCGCACCCCTAGTACTCGATGGCACTTCTGAGCCATGCGGGGTTCTGGGGTTCTGGGACTTTCTTTTTCAGTCTGGTGAGGGGCCAGGTACTGCCTGGAGCTTCAACCAAAGCAAATCAGGTGATTGCCATGTCCTTGCTAACACAAGACGGAGGCACGCCCAGCCAGCTGACATGCAGAGTGGCACGGTGGCTGAGAACGTGGCCTCCGTTGCCGCACGCCTGAGTTTGCGTTCTGGTGCTGCAGCTTTGCAGCCCTTTGTGACGGCCACGCGTGCTCCGGGTCAGCAGGCCGCTCCCGTGACAAGGGCGCGACATGCAGGGTGCACAGTGGGCCCTGGGGAAACACGGTGGCATCCCCGAGCGCCATCCCCAGCAAGAACGGGGCCAGACACCCACCAGGGAAGAAGCACCCTGGTTGACCGGATTGTTGGCGACCTGACCGCCTGCTTATTCCGTCGTGGACGCACCTCCTCTCGCAGGGGTGGGAGCGGAGGCCTTCGCCTGGAGGCGCCTGGGCCCTGCCTCTGTGCTTTTCTGTCACCCTGAACGGCTGGCGCTCTCCTCGCTGGGCCGCGGGATAAGAAGAAGGCTTTCCGGCAGTCCAGAAATACTGGCTCCCAGGAGCAGGACTGGCCTCTCGGGGTGGGGGTGGGGAGAGAGGGGATGCCCCAGCCAGAGGGAGGTCCCTGGGCCCAGCCTGGAGGGAGCCGAGGGAAGATCCACCTGTTTCTGCACGTGCTCGCCTCCCTCGGAGGCAGGAACTGAATCTGACCTAAGAGGAACCGACTCTCTTGGGGTGGAAGAAACAGAGTTGGCCTCTTCGTGTTTCTTCCGGAATAACACCGGGGTGTTGAGGCGGCATGCTGGTGAGGGCTTGGGTGAGCACAGCCGCCCTGCCTGTGGCCCCACCTCTGATCTTGGGAGGAGTCTGCTGTTCGGAGGCGGGCGGGTCCTGAGGAAGGTGTCCAGGTCTGGCTCTTCAGAGACCAGGAGGGCTGGGCTCCGGGTCCTGCCTGTGCAGCTGGTGTGGCGCCTGGCAGAGAAGAGAGAGGGGGAGAGGGAGGGGAGAGGGGAGGACAGAAGAGGAAAGGAGAGAGAGAGGAGGGAGGCAGAGAGGGAGAAGAGAGGGAGGCAGAGAGGGAGGGAGGGAGAGAAGAGAGGAGAAAGAGGAGGGAGGGAGGAGAGAGGAGGGAGAGAAGAGAGGAGAGAGAGGAGGGAGGAGAGAGGAGGGAGGGAAGGAGAGAGAGGAGGGAGAGAGGGAGAGAAGAGGGAGGGAAGGAGAGAGGAGGGAAGGAGGAGGGAGACGAGGGAGGGAGGAGGGAGATAGGAGGGAGGGAGGGAGGAGGTAGGGAATGTTCAGTTTCTTTCCTCAGGGGAACTGCTGGGGTCTCAGTCTGACTCACTTTTTTCTAATTATTATTATTTCACGTATTTGAATGTGATTTCTGTTAAAAAAAAAAAAAAAAAAGAAAGAAAGAAAGAAACAAGAAACAAGAAAGGACTTAGAAAAAGTACTCAGGGAACCCAGGTGGCCAGAAATGCTCCATTCCCCTTTTGTCCTTTGCAGTGTTCTGGTCTGGAATGAATGGGCTTCCCCAGCAGATTTTAGGGGCTTTTCTTTGAAATTTGAAGGGGAAGGTACCTTCCTATGATCACAGAGCATGTTCCCTTCCAGCCAAGAGGTTAAGTGGAAAGCCCGGGGCCCTGGGTTCCAGAGCGGGGGGCCGGAAGACTGTGAGGCTCAGGGGAGAACGCAAATCCGTCTCAGCAGAAATGTGCCCCAGAACAAATCAGCTCCACCGAGCTCCCAGTGACCTGAACCAAATGCGTCGTCTTTGGTGCGAACTTCAAGGAGTTCTGCCGGGCACCGACCTGGGTCACCACCATCAGAATTGACGCACAGAACACGCCTGTCACCCAGAAAGCTCCCCTGGGCTCTCCGCTCCGTGCCCTTGCCGTGTTCCCGGCCCCAGGCAACGGATGACCTGCTTCCTGTCACTGGGCATGCGTTTGCATTTTCCAGAATTCCTAGGAATGGAATCAGACAGCGTGTGCTCCTGATGGGCTGGCTTCTCTCACTCAGCATAATTAAACGTGGCTTCCTCCACGTGCCGCGCATCAGGAGCTCATTCCTGTTTCCTGCTGAGTCGTGTTCCGTGGTGGGGAAGGCCACCGTTTGTTTACCCACTCACCTGGTGATGAACGTTTGGGTGGTTCCCGGCATGGGGCGATTATAAATGATGCTGCTGTGAATCCTGGTGTGGACGTGTCTCATTTCTATTGGGTAATGTAGGCCAAGGTGCAGAGGCTGGCTCGTGTGGCATGAGAGCGATTCACTCAACAGAAGCCGCCCAGCTGCTCTCCAACGTGGCTGCTCCTATTTGCGTTCCTGCCCACCACGTACGAGAGCTCCGGTTGCTCCAACCCTCACCAACACTTAGCGTTGTTAGTGTTTTAAATTTTAGCCACTTGGATAGTCTGTCGTGGTGTCTTATCATGATTTTATCTTGCATTTTCCTGATGACTGGTGATGTTGACTGTCTTGTAATTAGCCATTCTATTTTTCATATTTATTTGCATCTTTGCTGGTTTTTGTTTTTGTTTTTTGAGACAGGGTCTCGCTCCGTCACCCAGGCTGGAATGCAGTGGTGCCATCTTGGTTCACTGCAGCCTCTGTCTCTTGGGCTCAATCAATCCTCCCATTTCAGCCTCCTGAGTAGCTGGAAGTACAGACATGCGCCACCGCGCCTGGCTAATTTTTGTATATTATTTTTGGTAGAGAAGGGGTTTCACGATGTTGCCCAGGCTGGTCTTGAACTCCTGGGCTAAAGTGATCCTCCAGCCTCCCAAAGTGCTAGGATTATAGGCATGAGCCCCCGTGCCCCACCTTTGCTAATTTTTATTGGGTTGTTTGAATTCTTATTATTGAGTTGTTGGAGTTCCTTATATTCTGACCTTATATTCTGAACCCAAGTCCCTTTGTCACATGAGTGTATGTGTCTGTACCCTCTCCTCCTGCCACACACAGAATATTTCTCTCCCTTGTGGCTTGCCTTTCATTTGAAGAGTGAAGAGTTGAAGGTTTTTATTGTTATGAAGTCCAGCTGATCATTTAATCTTCTGCAGCTGGTGCTTTTTGTGTCTTATCCAAGAAAGCTCTGTCTACCCCAGTGTTGGGGGCTCTCCTGTGTGCCCTTCCAGTGGGTTTATGCTTTCAGCCTTCGTGTCTACAGCTCTGTCCACTTTGAGTTGATTTTTGCCTCTGGTTCGGGATAGCAGTTGAGGTTTATTTTTATTTTTTTCTGTGGATAACCAGTTGTTCCAGCGCCGTTTACTGAAAGACTCCGCTTTGCCCATTGAATTAATATGACACATTTGTGAGAAATCAAGTAACCATCAACTCGAGAGTCTGCTTCTGGGCTCTGCTGTGTTCCGCGGATCTATCTGTTCTGTGGCACAGCACATGTCTTTTTTTTTTTTTTTTTTTTTTTTTTTTTTGAGATGGAGTCTTGCTCTGTTCCCCAGGCTAGAATGCAGTGGCGCGATCTTGGCTCACTGCAAGCTCCGCCTGCCGGGTTCATGACATTCTTCTGCCTCAGCCGCCCGAGTAGCTGGGACTACAGGCGCCCGCCACCACGCCCGGCTAATTTTTTGTATTTTTAGTAGAGACGGGGTTTCACCGTGTTAGCCAGGATGGTCTCCATCTCCTGACCTTGTGATCCGCCCACCTCGGCCTCCCAAAGTGCTGGGATTACAGGCGTGAGCCACCGCACCTGGCCAGCACAGCACGTGTCTTGATTATTATTATCCTCATAGCTTAAATCTTAATGAAACCAGGTAGTGGAAATCATCTAATTTTGTTCTTTCTCTAAATTATTTTTGCTTTTTTAGGTCTTTTACATTTCTGTATACATTTTAGAATCAGCTTGTCAATTTCTGCACCTTGTATTGACTGTCTACTTGTGTAGAATTGTTATTATTTGTTCCTTGAATGTTTGAGTCCCTAAATGCTTCTTTAAATCACGGAAGGCATGTGGGCCTAGTTTCTTAATCAGAAGGTTTTGAATCCCAAATTCAGTTTCTTTAGTAGGTTGAGAACCATTCAGATCTGGGATTTCGTTTTCGAGTGAGTTTGAAAGTTCGCGTCTGTCACGGCACATGCTCCTGTCCTCCGGGTTGTCAGGTCTGTTGGTGTAAAGTCCACAATATTCTCTCTCTCTCTCTCTTTTTTTTTTGAGATGGAGTCTTGCTTGCTCTGTCGCACGAGCTAGAGTGCAGTGGGGCGCTCTCGGCTCACTGCAAACTCCACCTCCCAGGTTCAAGCGGTTTTCCTGCCTCAGCCTCCAGAGTAGCTGGGATTACAGGTGGCTGCCAACACACCCAGCTAATTTTTGTATTCTTAGTAGAGACGGGGTTTCACCATATTGTCCAGGCTGTTCACGATCCCCTGACCTCAGGTGATCTGCCCACCTCAGCCTCCCAAAGTGTTAGGATTACAGGCATGAGCCACCACACCTGGTCCACAATATTCCTTTATTACCTTTCTGTTGTGTCGAATCTGTGCTAATGTCTTCCATTTCATTTCTGATATTAAAGGTTTGTATTTACTCTCTTTTATCTTTTTGATTGGAAGTTTATCAATTTGTTTTAATTTTCCAAGATCCACCCTTGGGTTCCATGGATTCGCTTTATTGCTTATTCATTTTCTATGTAGTTGATTTCCTCTCTGTATTATCACCCTTTTCTACTTAATTTGATTTGAATTTTCTCTTCTTTAGCTTTTTAAAAGATCAAATCATTGATTTTATATCTTGTTTCTGATATAAACATTTAAAGCTCTGATTTCTCAATAAGCACGCCTTTAGTTACATCCTGTATGTTTTGGTGTGTTGTGTTTTTATTTTCATTTAGTTCAAAATGTTTTCTGTTTTTAGGCTGGGCACGGTGGCTCATGCCTTTAATCCCAGCACTTTGGGAGGCTGAGGCAGGTGGATCACCTGAGGTCAGGAGTTCGAGACCAGCCTGGCCAACATGGTGAAACCCCGTCTCTACTAAAAATACAGAAGTTAGCCGGCTGTGGTGGTGGACGCCTGTAATCCCAGCTACTTGGGAGGCTGAGGCAGGAGAATCGCTTGAACCCGGGAAGCGGAGGTTGCAGTGAGCCGAGATTGCACCACTGCACTCCAGCTTGGGCGACAGACCAAGGCTCCGTCTCAAAAAAAAAAAGCAAAATGTTTTCTGTTTTTCTTGTAATTTCCTTCTTTACCTGTGGGTCACTTAGAAATGTGTTCCATTTCTAATTATTTAATACTTAGCCATTTTTAGGTAACTTTTAGTTGTTAATTTTTAATTTACAGCTGACTGCTTGGGTCTACACCATGTGCCCTGAGAAAAGCGCGTATTCTGCTGCGGTCGGGAAGCCTCCAGACATCCGAGCGAGCTGGAGATGCTGTTTTTGGAGCTGTCTACATTCCACTGACCTGTCTTCTTTCTCTGTTCATTGCTGGGGGAAGAGCGTGAGGTGGCGGACGAAGCTCGTGCCTTCATCTGTGTCTTCACTGCTCTCATTTCCAGCTGCATATTTTGAAGCTTTCCATCACGTGCGTGCATATTTAGGACTGTGGGTCTCCTTAACAGGCTGACCCTTTCTTCACTGATGAACTGTCTCCACGTGTCTTCGTCCATCTTCCTTGCCCTGGAGTCTATGTTGCCTGCGATGTTCGTGGCCGTGCCAGCCGCCCCGGGGTCAGGGTTTGAATGCTGTATCTTTGACCATTTCTATATTTGCAGTCTGTCTTTGTCTTTCAGGTGTGATTCTTGCAGACAGCATACTTTAAGTCTTTGATTTTTAGCCAGTCCAACCATCTCTGCTTTTCATTGGTGAGTTTAGCCCATTTAGCAGCCTTTTTTTAAACTTTTTTATTTCCATAGGTTGTGGGGGAACAGGTGGTATTTGGTTACGTGAGGAAGTTCTTTAGTGGTGATTTCTGAGATTTTGGTGCAGCCATCACCCAAGCAGTGCACACTGAACCCGATTTGTAGTTTTTTATCCATCACCCCCTTCCCGCCCTTTCCCCCTGAGTCCCCAAAGTCCATTGTGTCATTCTTATGCCTTTGCATCCTCATAGCTTAGCTCCCACTTATAAGTGAGAACATACGAAGTTTGGTTTTCCATTCCTGAGTTACTTCACTTAGAATAATAGCCTCCGATCTCATCCAAGTTGCTGCAAATGCCATTACTTCATTACTTCTTATGTCTGAGTAGTATTCCATCATATATATATATATATATATATATATACACACACCACAGTTTCTTTATCCACACGTAGGTTGCTGAAGCCCATGTAGTATTGAGTGTAGTGAATGACATGCCTGTGTTTCTTGCTCTGTGTCCAGTTGGTTTGTCTGGTCTCCTCTTTGTTCCTGGGAATGTCCTCTTTTCATGTCATCTCCTGGGTCAACTGTGCGTTAATTACCCATTGTATCTCTACGTGGGAAGGGGATGGGGTGCACACGCCTCTGTCCACGTCTTCGTGGTCAGATGGTAGACGCCGGGCCACAGCAAGCATTAGGGAGGCTGTGGGCTTGCCTGAAACCATCACTCTTACTGTGTTTGGTGGAATGGTGTTCTTATAAAATTTATTTTTATGATAACAATGACAAAACACATTTGAAAACTACTAACAAATGCAACAGCCTCAATTGGTAGATGTGGCAATGACAGCTTCTCTAGGACGGGGTGGATCTGTGTGCCTACAAGTCCCAAGCCTGCACCGGAGCCAGCCAGTTCCGGCTGTAGGATTTGCCTTGCCACGCGTGACGTCTGGCACCTGGCGGCTCTTCCCTGCAAAGCCCTGCAGCCTCGCTGAGCTGTAGAACTGCTCAAGCCCTTCTTTTCCAGCTGCCAGGAGGGTGACAGCTGTGCCTGCCCCCGGGTGTCTGAGGACATAGCAAGGGCAGGCCTGGGGCGAGCCTGGTGGGGGAACCCAGGCAAACGTGAGCCATGGCTAGTCACAGTTGGGAAGCTTGTCCTGGGATGTGTGCAGCCTGGTTACGCCAACGTGTACATCAACTCTTGCCAGGGAAAGGTAAAGCTCGGGGCCCAGAGGCCTGGGCTGAATTTCAGCCCAGGGCAGCTAAGCCCAGCTCCCAGCCCCTGGTCCTGGACGTGCCTGCTGTCCATCTTAGCAGGCCCCATAGAGCAAGTAGGAGAAGGAAACGGGCTTGCCAGCAGGGCCAACTGTCCAGAGGGCATAGGGCAGCCTTCCCATGTGGGCAACGGTCGGCTTACTGGTGCGGAGCTTTCTAATGCCACAGTAGGGCCAGCCAGGTCCCTGAGCCAGGTCCTCGGGCCAGCCCCAGGGCCGGCCCAAGGCCTTTTCTGGCACTCAGCTGGATCAAAGGCTTGGCTTTCAAAGGGGACTCCCTGGGCAAAGGTTGCAGTTTCCAGTATCAGTGGTGACGGGGTCGGGCCTGGCTAGAAGGGCCTGGAGCCCTGCTGGCCACCACCCTGCAAGCCCGCCTGACACCTGGAGAAACTGGGGGCTCTGCCCACCCTTTCCCATGCCCAGGGGTGCAGGCAGGCTGTGCCATGGCATTCTGGGCAGGTGCGTTGAAGACGTTAAATGGGCGAGTTCCCTCTCGGCATGGGGTATAATTAATTTTCCTGAAATAGGCATGACAGCCCAGCAGTCTGCGTGTCTGAGTCAGGCAGTGATTATTACCTCTCACCGGCATGATGCGCCATCGGCCACTCAGAATTCAGAGCACCACAGCTCCCCGGGCCCTGCTGGGGTGGTGCAGGGGGTTCGGGGCTGGCCAGGGCTTGGGAGATGCTACCCCGCTCAGAACCACCCTGCCTGGAGGCTTGGGATCCAAGAGGCGTTTGTGGCTCCCAGGTGTAGGGTTGGCACCAAGGGTGGCGGGAAGGTTACAGCAATGGGTGAGGGAGCGGGAGGGTCCAGCAGAGCTTGCAGGGGGTGGCTGGAGCTGCCCTTGGTGAGTGGAGTGGACGGCCAGGTCCTGTGGGGGACGGGGGCGCACCCCAGCACACACCCCGGCAATGCCCCCAGTCGGGGGAAAGAGCCCGGGCTCCAGTGATGTGGGCTGGCCACGGTCGGTAGCAGTGGTCCGAGTCGGGTGAAGCTTGCCTTCGCGTGTTCTGGGCCACAGTGCTGTGGGGTCACCCTCTGGCCCCCACACCGGGCAGTTTCCGGGAGCAGGAGCTGGAAGTGCAGGGCAGGCTCAGCCCAGTGGGCGGTGATGGCTGCCTGGCCCTCCCGTCACAGAGCCTGTGGTGGCTCTGGGCACCCCTCCTACCTGGGACCGAGCTGTTTCTCACCCCAGGCCTTGCTGACCGTCCAGGTCTGGGGTCTCCCGGGGACGCGCTCTGCATGTGGGATCCATCTGTATTCCAGGGTCCCTGCCGTGGCCAGGCTCTCATCCCTAGGGGCTTCTGGTCTCGTTTCTACCCCAAGGAAGCACCCACAGCAGGTGCCCTCAGCACCCTCCCTTCTGCTTCCTGGACCCAGCGACTGGCTTCTCCCCACTCTCCTGATTGCATATGCTCAGAGGCCTGTCCCAGAGGCTTTGGCCACAGTGGTTTATGTCCTGAACGCCACTGTGCCCAGGCCCCTGGGGATGTTCCCCCCTGAGGTTGTCATCGCAGCCTCCCTGCTTTATGGGTCAGGAAACTGAGGCACACGTGGCCGGAGGACCAGAGGTGGGTGGGAGCCCCCGGCAGTGCTCCCGTGATAGGGCTGAATTGTCCCTGCCTGGCACCCAGACAGAGCAGTTGGCGTAAGCAGGGGTGCATGTCTGCCCGTCCAGGGTGGGTGTCGGCCCTGAGGGTGCAGTCGTCTGCAGCTGCAGGACCCCAAGCCCCTCAGATGGGAGATGGTTGGACTCTGGGACGTTCCCCAGACGCAAGGCTGGGGGTGTGGGCCTCTGGATGTAGAGGCTGGCTAGGCTGCCTTCTCCCACCTCCCGTTCCTGGGGCTCATCTTGCTGTGTCAAAGGGTGAGGCCTCATGCGTGGGTAAGGTGGGGAGCAAAGCAGAGATTTTGTCCTCACAGGGGTGCAGATGGGGAAACTGAGGTCTCAGGTTAGCTGGGAAGTACATAAGGGTGTCGTCCTGCAGCTGAGCGGAGTGGCCGGCCCCATCTTCCTCCTTCCCTCGCTGGGCACGGGCAAGCTGTCCCGGTGACCTCACCAAGGCCTCTCTGTCAGCGCACTTCACAGAGGGAGAACTAAAGGTTGAAGCCTTCAGTCCAGATCACAGAGGCGGTAAATGTCCGAGCGGGTCAGACCCTGATGCTGCAGCCGGACCTCAGAGCCCCCTGGGCAGTGACGGGCCTCTAGGGCATCCTGGGTTTTGTTGCCTGTGCTGCCCCCCAGGGCCCCTCCTACCACCAGAGATGCTGCCTGAGAGCGGGGCTCAGCGGGTGGCCAGGCCCCTCTCCCACCCCGCCCCCGCAGGAGGAAGGCCTTGGCGTTTCAAGGTCGGCCTCCACTTTCACTTTCTTTTTAAGAAGGAGGGTATTATGGGTTGAATTGTGCCCCCAAAATGGTATGTCCAGGTCCTAAGCGCTGGCACCTGCCGTGATCTCATTTGAAAATAGAGTCTGTGCAGAAGTCATCAAGTTAAGATGAGGTCATACTTGAGCAAGGTGGGCCTAATCCCTGTGTGACAGGGGTCCTGTCACAGAGACACCTGACAGGAGGGGAAATTGGGACCCAGAGTCACGGGCACGAGGGGGACGGACGTGAAGACGGAGACTGGAGTGGCACAGCCACAAGCCAAGGGCCACCAGGAGCTGGAAGAGATGGACGAGGCAGGGAAGGATCTTCCGCTAGAACCCATGGAGGGTGCGTGGCTCTGCCCACATGTTGATTTTGAACTTCTGGCCTCCAGAATTGTGATGGAATGAATTTCGGCAGCCACAGGAAACTAAGAAGCCCAAACACGCCGGTTCCTATCCGTGAAGGACAAAAGACCCACGCGTTGAGTCACCAGGGCTATCAGGGAAGAGCCTGGGCCGGGGTCCTAGCCCCAGAGCCCAGAATCCCCGCTTCCAGTTCTCAGCTGCCCCGTGGTGTCCGCCCTCCTGCCCTCTCCACGCTCCAGGGCCCTCTTTTTGTAAAGAAGAAATATTTTCCTCATGGAATGACTCCCTCCTCCAACCCAAACAGGATCATATTTCTGCTTTGAAACAGACACTTCTGCTGTGAGTAGCGGCATCTTTAAATAAACACATCCTCCCTGTTGGGGTAGACAGAGGCAGATGGAGAGACACAGAAAACAGCGCGCAGAGCCCTTGCTTGCGGGTGGGATCCGCGACTCCACAGCCTCCCCTTCCCTGCCCACTTCTGCCTCCTCCTCTTTGTGGGGTGCCCCAGGGCTCTCCTCCCCCATGGCCCCCAGAAACAACCTTGGGGCTTCTTATGTCCTGCGACCTCCTCGGAGCTGTTCTGGGGGCTCTTGGCTGTCGCAGCAAGGAGCTGCACTGAAGTGAAGTGCTTTCCCTGGGAGGTGAGGGCCTTGGCAGGCGGGACTCTCAGAAGGCTGGACCCAAGGGGGGACACGGGCTGCCTGTTCCTGCTGAACCCACACAAGCTCCGTTTCCCTCCTCCTCAGGCTGCCCGGAAGCCCCCGCTACGTCCTGGGAAATGGCTCCTGGGTCTCCCCCAGGCTTCTGGGACCTTAGCCTCGCAGGGCTGCTGGGGGTGGGAGGGGCGCCTTGCCCTGGACACGGCGAGGGAAGCCACTGTGAGGGCAGGCTCTGGCTGGGAGGGGCTGCTCCTGCTGGATGGGACAGCGGTGCCAGCCGGGCATGGGGAGGGTTTCAGCAGGGGGCAAACCTCGTGGGGAGTTGGCCACTCAGGGCAGGCCAGGGAGGGCAGGAATGGAGGTGGAAGGCCTCTGGGGCAAGGCAGGGCAGGGCTTACCCCACCCCAACCACAGAAGGGCCTAATCAGGGGTGGAGGAACTGGTGGGCCTGTGTCCGGGGCCAGCCCGGTCCCCAGTGGTGTGACTGGGGCTGGGTGTGAGGCTGTGGTGAGAGGGGCTCATTCCTGGCACGCCAGGTACTGCTCCTGGGCCACAGAACCCAACCTTCCAGCGGTCAGGGTCTAGGCTGCTGATAGGCACTCGTCCTGGCGGCCAGACTCATGGGCTGCGGGTGAGGACCCCAGCAGATGGGTCGGGGCGACCTGGGATGGCGGAGGGCAGGTGGGGAGGCTGTGGGAGGTGCCTGCTGGGAGGGAAAGGACTGTGCTCCGTGCCCACCCCGGGGGCTCCCTGTCATCGCTCCGCTCCCTCTGGCCTACGCATCCACAGGCCCTGCCCGTCCACCCGTGCATTCGGTTTGGTACAAAATCCCCTGGCAATGCTTTCTGTGGGGGCTGATTCTTAACACCCCTCCCCTTCCGCCAAGCAGGCCCTGTGGGTCTGTTGACCGGGAGCACAGAGGGCCTAGCGGACAGCTACACCCCAGGGTGGCCTTGGGCCTGGGGGCCCCGGAGGAGCGGGCTGTCAGCAACTCCCAGCAGCCAGGCCTGTGGGCTGAGATGGTGGCGGTTTCCTGCCCTGCCTCTCCTCCCCTCCGGGGTCAGGGGGCTCCTCTCCTGACCTTGTACTTAGAAACGACACAGCGTCCCACAGAGCATCGCCCTGTGCCTCTGGGGGCCGGGCCTGCCCCAAGCCTCACATGCCAGCCTGGCACTGCTGCTGCCCTCGGGCAGGGGCCCTTTCTGGGTCGGGGACAGGTGGTCTTTCCCCACTTGGGAAAGAGGGAAGTGAAAACCCCAGAGGGAAGTGGTTTGCCCCAAGCTGGCAGAGCGAGTCCGGGGCAGGAAGTCACAGTAGGCAGGGGTGCCGGAGCCGGCGAGAGGGGGCCGGCGGGTGGATGGTCTCAGTTCCAGAGCCTCAGGGGCCTCCAGTGAGGAGCACAGGGCCCCTGCCCACCCTGTGGCCAGAACCCTGGACGCACGTGGCAGCCGCTCAGGGCCCCAGGAGAGCGTGTCGGGGCACCCTCAGGGCAGCACCCCGGCTTCCCGCCCCCTCACTCCCTGGCTGCACCAGGCTCAGCCTTCCGGGGATGGGCGACACTGCCCCTCTCCCGATCCCCACCGCGGGGTGCAGCCTGGCAGCTCCCTGGCCAGACGCAAGGGGACTGTGAGAGAGAGACGTCCGGGTTACTACGCGTGGGCCTGGCCCAGTCAGCCAAGCAGATGCAGCCGTGTGGTCTTGGGCTCTGTGAGCTCGGGAGTTCCCGCACAGAACGCGGGCCTCACTGTCTCCTCTGCCCGCAAATTCCCCGGCATGGGCTGCGCTGCTGCTGCAGAATTACCCAGCCCCAGGACCGGTGCACGGTCAGCAGAGGCCCGGGCCCGCCTTGTGGAAGGCGACATATCGGCAGTGCCCGACCTAAATTCCCAGGCACTGTGGCCAGGTGGGTGGCCTCCCGTGAAGGGCTGGCTGCCCACACCTGGGTCATGAACCCTCACGTCACTCGCGAGGCCTGCACCACGTCGCCGGGGCACAGAGGAGGAAACTGAGCCTCAGGACTTGGCCTGCAGAGAGAGGGGTCGAAGTGTGCCCCCCAAAGCACCCCTCACACCCCAGTCCCCCCACTTCACCCCAAATGAGGTAGGTGTCCACAGGGGAGAGTGGGGGCAGCCCTGGGGCTGGCTGAGGGTCACCTGCAGGGGGTCAGGAGCTGCTGCGGAGAAGGGAGCGTCCACACACATCTGCACACGTGCACACGCACACACGCTCACACTCACCGGCACCGAGGTGCACCGCCTGGCCGAAAGCTGTCTTCCTGTTTACTCTGACCTGGTCCCTACCACAGGCTTGAAGAGCAAATGTTTTTGTCTCCATCGTGCAGAAGAGGAAGCTGAGGTTCAGAGGCATTAAGTGACCCACATAAAGTTGTCCAGCATGTCTGATGGGGTTGGCCCTAGTGACTCCAGGTCAGGAGCCAGAGAGCCCCAGGGGGAGTGTTGGTGACCGGGCGGGCTCCCGGCAGGAGAAGGGCACCTCATGTTGGTCAGCATGAGTGTGGGGTAGAGGTGACCTGGGGGAAAGGTGACCTGGGAGGGAGGTGACCACAGGGAGAGGTGGCCTCTGGGGGAGGTGACCACAGGGGAGGATGACCTGATGAGGAGATACCTGGGGCAGATGACCACAACAGGGACCTGGCCACAGGAGGAGGTGACCTGGTGGGGAGGTGACCTGGGGGGAGACACCCTGGTGGGAGGTGACCACGGGAAGGGGTGGCTTCTGGGGGAGGTGATCACAGCGGGGAGATGACCTGACAGTGTCAGGTTATGTGGGGGCAGATGACCACAGTGGGGAGCTGGCCACAGGAGGAAGTGACTTCTGGGGGAGGAGGCCATAGTAGGGTGGTGACCTGGTGGGGAATTGACCTGGTGGGGAGGTCACCTGGGGGGAGGTGACCACAGTGGGGAGTGACCACAATGACCACTTCTCCAAGTGGCCACGGGAGGAGGTGACACAGGGGGGTGATGGCTTTGGGGGAGTAACACCAGCCCTGCAGAGGAGGATAAGCCCCTTGGGAGGAGGGGTCAGGGAGGAGGAGGTGGCCCACTCTGTGGCCTCGCCTGCAGGGGAGGCCCTGTCCCTGCGCTCCTTAGAACAGACACCCTGGGCGGCGGGCCCCTTCCTCCTGGCCTGCAGGTCGGCCTGCAGTGGAGTGCTACCACAGCCTGGAATCCTCAGTACTGGAGCCTCTGCCACCCAGCTGGGGTCTCACGCTCAGCCCCCGACCATCCCCAGAGGCCAGGCCACCTGTGGTTCTGGGGTCCCGAGGCTCTTGGGAGCCCAAGCTGCTGGTGTGACCTGCTGCAGCTGCTGCCAGCCAGGCAGGGAGAGCTGAGAGCTGAGCTTGCCCTGTGCCCAGGAGGGTGGACTCTGGCAGGACATGGCCCGGAGGTGGGAGGGGCGTGTGCCCGTGTGTGCTTGGGCACGGTACCCGGTCTGAGGCCCGTGTTGTCTCGGGCAAAATGCGCACACTGTCTTGGAGGAGGCGGGCCGGGGACTCCTGCGTGGCCCGAGGAAGCTGAGGGGAGGTAGTCCCTGATGCCATCAGCCTCCTTGCTCCGGAAACCAGGTGAGTGCAGATTCTCCTACCTGGCTGAGTGGAGTCCTGCGCATCCAGTGGAGAGAAATGGAAGTTTACTGCAAACTGGGGGTTCCCCGCAGCCTTGGTTTATGGTTAAATATTACAGAGGCCCCGTGGGAGAGCCAGGCCCCTTCCCTCTGTGGGCCCTGAAGGGGGCCACAGAAGCAACACCACGGTGTGGGGGGAGCACCGTCCCGTGAAGCTCCCGCTAGGCCGAGGGGCTGGGGCTGTGCTCGCCATCCTCGGCCACCAGCCTGGCTTTCGGGTCCCCACACACAGGCAAGAGCACGGGAACCGCATCCTGACCTGCCAGCTCCTCTCCAGAGGCTCGGACCCAGATGGGGCTGGATTGGGGCGGGAGGAGGCGCAGTGGCCAGGGAAGCTCTGGGGCAAATGCCTTCCAAGTGACTCATCGGGGCTGGGTCCCTGAAGCCTGCCATCCACCCCAGCTCTACTCTGCCTGCGCGGCCTGGGAGCGGCGCCTGTGCCCTTGGGTTGAGGACACCGATTAGCAGGCAAGGCCCACACGAAGGTGTCGCCTTCTTCGTCAACTGAGGCCCAGTGTGGCTTCCTGGAGTTGTGAACAGCTCCTGGCCTCCCTGGGGCTCCGCAGCTGGGCCTTCCCTGCATCTCGGGGTGTAAACCAGCCCCAGGAAACAGGCGGAGTGGCTGCAGCATGGGTCAAGGTCAGAGAATCCGGGAGCCCCACAGCCGGCAGGGCTGATGACATGAGCTTCAGGGCCCAGCGCAGAACAGAAACACGGCCGTTGTTTTAAGAGTGTCCGACAGTGACCATGGGCGCTATACCAGGGGCAGGCCCCTCCGAGCCGCGCTGGAGCCTGAGGGCTGACTGGCCGAAGAGCTTTGGTGGGAGGAGCGGGATGTAGCCGTGGCTCAGTTAGGGGCCGGGAGAGGAAGGCCGCGCAGGTGTCCTCTTTGCTGCTCAGGGCCAGCCAGCGGGAGGGTTCGGGGATTTTAAGAGGAGACACTGGTTCTGCGTCCCCCTCACACTGCTGGGAGAGAACACAGGAGGGGCTATTTGTGAATTATGTCTGGTTGCTGTGAGTGTGTGTCGTGGGTGTTTAACCACCTCTCTGCTCCAAGATGGAAAGTGGAGGTGCTGCTCCCACCATCACCCTCTGCCTTCCTGCACCCGCCCCCTCCACTGCCTGTGGCCTGCATGCGGCCCTCATGGCCACTGTGAACTGTATGTGCCCCGACCTGCTCCCTTGCCTCTCCCTGAGGCTCATGCAGTTTTCTTGCCTGGAACCCTCTGAGGGCCTTTGCCTGGAGAGCTGCTGTCATCCTTTAAGACCTGAGTCCTGCCTACCGCCTTATTTCCACAGCACCTCTGCACACCCCTGTCTGCGCACCTATTGTATTAATCCGGCATTACTGCAGGAGTGCTGTCCTATCTGCGGTAGGGAGAGCTCTCTTGGTGCAGAATCCCAACTCAGATGAACGTAAGCCAAAAGGGAGCCTGTTGGCTTATTATAACTATCTCACCCAGGCGCAGCTGCAGGCATGGCTGGATCCAGGACCTCAATAATGCACTCAAAGCTCTGTCTCTCTCCCGGCATCTCAGCCCTGCTTGTCTTTACTTGACTTCATTCAGGGTGTCAGCTCTCTCTCCATGCAGTGGGGGATGGCCTCTGGCAATCCCAGGTTAGCAGCCCTGATGAGAAGAGGCCGTTTTTCCCTTCACTCTGTGGACAAGTCTCCCAGGGACTTCCAATGGTGTAGCTTGGGCTGTGTGAGCTCCCAGGACTGATCACTGCGGCTGGCGAGGGAGCACGCGCCTCCTTATAACAGGATAGGGTCAGCCTATAGAAAAGGGAGACTTATCTGCTGCCTTGCAAAGGGGAGGACGGAGGCTGGGCAGTGTGTGCACCTCCCCAGCCAAATGGGCGAGCACTGTGATGGAGGGTTGTGCATTTCCAGGCTCTCGGTATCCCCAGCCCCTTGCCCGTGCCTGGCGCATAAGTGGACACAATCTTTATGGACCAGTCACCCCGCTGCACCAGGGACTCTTTGACCAAAGAGAGTGGAGCATGTGGGCCCTGGGGACACGGTGTGGTGGCCGGGGTTTCTTCATGCAGCCTCCTGGGCCTTGGCTCTCCCTCCGCTGGTGGCCTGGAGGGACAGGAATAAATTTTGCAGCAGAATTGACCGCGGGGGAGGGAAGGGCTTCCTTGCCCTGGGGCCCTTCTCACAGTTTTCATCTCGCTCAGTTCCAAGTCAAAACCTCTGGCCTGCGAAGCTCATTTGGGAACAGTGGGAGAGCAGATCTGAACCGGACACGGTCACTGGTTGCCTTGGTTATTCTGGGCAGGACACGTGGCGTCAGCCTGGGCAGAGGGGCAGAGCCTCGGGGCCATGGTTTAGGGTCCTGGATCCAGCCCCGTGGAAGCTGCTCTCTGGGTGCTGCCGTGAAGGTGGCAGGTCCCCTTTCTGACTGAAGGTCCTTCGAATCCGTGTTCCAGGCTCCAATCATAGAAGCCGGAGCAAGAGAGCCAGAGCTTTGTAGGAATTTACATGGAAACGCTTTCTGCTGCCTGTCATTGCTAACAGGACCGCCCAAGTCCCGGGGTGGACTGTGAGGCCAAATGAATGTGGTTGCCATTGAGTGGGAGCTTCCTCAGCCTCCCTGCACTGGCTGGGGGTGCATCCTCCCAAGGCCCTCTGTCCCTGAGGGCCTGGAGAGGCCCTCTGCTCAGCAGGGGCTACTGAGCCTGCCCCCACCCCACGAGGAGCTGCAGCGACAGGATTGCAAAGACACCCTAGGCCCCACCTACTCTTAATTGTGGGGAAACAGCACCAACCCCAGTTTGCAGTAGTCGGACGGGTTTCTAGCTCACTCTGTCTGAACGTTTCCCTTCCTAACTCCTTTCTTCATCTTCTCTTTTTATTTACTGGGCTATAAATTAGCTCCTTAAATCAGACAAATACATGCACACTGACAAGGTTTGGCTCTGTCTCACCCAAACTTTATGCAGAATTGTCATTCCCAGTGTTGGAGGTGGGGCCTGGTGAGAGGCGGTTGGCTCATGGGGGTGGATTTCTCATGAATGGTTTAGGACCATCCCCTTGGTACTGTCCTCACAACAGTGAGTTCTCGTGAGATCTGGTCATTTTAAAGCATGTGCACCTTGCCCCCACTCTCTCTTCTCTCTTCCTCCTGCTCTGGCCATGGAAGACACACCTGCTCCCCTGTTGCCTCCTGCCATGATTGGAAGCTTCCTGAGGCCTCCTCAGAAGCTGATGCTGCTATGCTTCCTGTACAGCCAGCAGAACCATGAGCCAATTCAACCTCTTTCCTTACAAATTACCCAGTCTCATGTCTGTCTGTCTTTCATTCTTTCTTTTCTTTCTTTCTCTTTCTTTCTTTCTTTCTTTCTTTCTTTTTTTCTTTCTTCTTTCCTTCCTTCCCCCTCTCTCTTTCTTTCTTTCCTTCCTTTCTTCCTTCTTCCTTCCTTCCTTCTCTTTCTTTCTCTCTCTCTCTTCCATCTTTCCTTCCTTCCTTCCTTTTTTTTTTGAGATGGAGTCTCACTCTGTTGCCAGACTGGAGTGCAGTGGTGCAATCTCAGCTCACTGCAACCTCCGCCTTCCAGGTTCAAGTGATTCTTCTGCCTCAGCCTCCCAAGTAGCTGGGACTACAGGTGCACACCAGCACACCCAACTAATTTTTTTTTTTGTATTTTTAGTAGAGATGGGGTTTCACCATGTTGGCCAGGATGGTCTGGATCTCCTGACCTCATGATCCGGCTGCCTTGGCCTCCCAAAGTGCTGGGATTACAGGCGTGAGCCACCGCACCCGGCCTTGTGTATTTCTTTATATAATGCGAGAATGGATGAACACACACACTACCTGTCATTGTTTTTCTTAGAATTCTGCAGGCCACGGACATGGCCGAGCAGCTGGAGCCCGGCTGCATCCGTGCTGTCTACACCGGCCTGGGCTGTGCTGTCTACACCGGCCTGGGCTGTGCTGTCTACACACCGTCACCTGCCTGGGCCGTGCTGTCTACACACCGACACCGGCCTGGGCCGTGCTGTCTACACACCGTCACCTGCCTGGGCCGTGCTGTCTACACACCGTCACCTGCCTGGGCTGTGCTGTCTACACACTGACACCGGCCTGGGCCGTGCTGTCTACACCGGCCTGGGCCGTGCTGTCTACACACCGTCACCTGCCTGGGCCGTGCTGTCTACACACCGTCACCTGCCTGGGCCGTGCTGTCTACACACCGTCACCTGCCTGGGCCGTGCTGTCTACACACCGTCACCTGCCTGGGCCGTGCTGTCTACACACCGTCACCTGCCTGGGCCGTGCTGTCTACACACCGTCAGCTGCCTGGGCCGTGCTGTCTAGACACCGTCACCTGCCTGGGCCGTGCTGTCTACACACCGTCACCTGCCTGGGCCGTGCTGTCTACACACCGTCACCTGCCTGGGCCGTGCTGTCTACACACCGTCACCTGCCTGGGCTGTGCTGTCTACACACTGACACCGGCCTGGGCCGTGCTGTCTACACCGGCCTGGGCCGTGCTGTCTACACACCGTCACCTGCCTGGGCCGTGCTGTCTACACACCGACACCGGCCTGGGCCGTGCTGTCTACACACCATCACCTGCCTGGGCCGTGCTGTCTACACACCGTCACCTGCCTGGGCCGTGCTGTCTACACACCGTCACCTGCCTGGGCCGTGCTGTCTACACACCGTCACCTGCCTGGGCCGTGCTGTCTACATACTATTGCTGGCCCAGCCTCAGCCCTGGGATGAGTACAGACTACTTTCTTTTGGCCAATCGCAGCTTTCAGCCAGCCCCGTCATACTCCCCTCCTTGTCCCTTACAGCCCCTGGGACAGACTCCCCTGAGTCTGCTCACTTTCTTTTTCTTTTTTTTTTTTTTTTAGATAGAGTCTTGCTTTGTTGCCTAGGCTGGAGTACAGTGGTGTGATCTCGGCTCACTGCAACCTCCGTCTCCTGGGTTCAAGCAATTCTCCTGCCTCAGCCTCCCAAGCAGCTGGGACTACAGGCACCCACCACCACACCTGGCTAATGTTTTGTATTTTTGGTAGAGACAGGGTTTCGCCACGTGGGCCAGGCTGGTCTTGAACTACTGACCTTGTGATCCACCCGCCTTGGTCTCCCAGAGTGCGTTGAGCCACCGCACCCGGCCGTCTGCTCACTTTTAACTGTGGAAATGCAGCCCAGCCCAGCTGAAAGCTCGAATCTTCTGTCCTGCTCATGCTCCCCTGCCCCGGGGTGAGGCTGCTGTCTCTCCAGACTTGGGGTGGGGACAGAGGTGTGCGTGCTCTCCTGCTCGCTCCCCTCCACCCTCTGGGCTGGTACCCTGATGAGCCACCAGCTCTGATGACTCCGACCTCCCTATCCCCACACAGAGGCTGGGGCTGCGGCTGGGTGACTGGCGGGTCAGTCCTGCTCAGCCCTGCAGGCTGTGTGTCTGGGTCTAATGAGTTTCTTAGAATGTGGAGATTGTGCTGGGTGGTGTTGGGGGTTGCTTGGAACCTCTGTCATTTTCATCTGTGGACCTTAGTCATCAATTCCGCTGCTCTAGTAAAATTCCTACTGGAAATAAAACCCTGCACCACCCCCCTCTCTCTGTGGGAGCCTCCAGGATGTCTCTGGGGTCTTCCCCGCCAGCCTCCATAGCTGTATTCATCAGGGTTCTCCGGAGAAACAGAAGCAGTAGGAGACGGGTTTATTTATTCCAGGGAACTGGCTCATGTGATTACAGAAGCTGAGATGTCCTGAGACCTGCCACCTGGAGACGGAGGAGGGCCTATGTCACCATCTGAGTCTGAAGGCCTGAGACCCAGGAGAGCTGATGATGCAGCCGAGTTCAAATCTGAAGGCTGGACAAGATCCCATCAGCTTGAAGACCTTCAGGCAGAGAAAGTGGGCTCTCCCTCCCTCAGCCTTTTGTTCTGCTCAGGCCTTCAAGGGATTGGAGGATGCCCGCCCACGCAGGGGACAGCCATGGACTTTCCTCAGTCCTTCAACTCAAATGCTGATCTCACCCAGAGACAGCTCACAGATACCCTAGAGAACATGCGGCCAAATATCTCGCCACCTCTTCCCAGTCAAGGTGACACATGAAATTGGCCATCACAGCGTCCTGGTATCATTGTATCAGAGTTGGCCTGTGTGACAGTGAGTGATGTCCAAGCCTAGTTCACAAATGGCTTTGTGGATCCCACCTTGCTCTCCCTGGGGTCACTCTGGGGGAAGACAGTCGCCATGTTAGGAGAATGCTCAAGCAGCCTTGTGGAGAAGCCTATGAGGCCAGGGACTGAGGCCTCCCGCCAATAGCCTGTGAGGAGCTGCAGCCTCCACCAATGGCCTTGTGAGGACTGGAGGCCTCTCCCCAGCAGCCATGTGAGCAAGCTTCCTTGGAAACGGATCCCCCAGCCCAGTCGCACGTGCAGGTGTTGCCGTCCTGGCGGCAACCTCGTGCCAGATCCTGAGCCACAGCCACCCCACTGGGCTTCTTCCAAATCCTGGAGCCTCTGAAACTGTAAGATAATGAAGGTTTGTTGTTTTACACTGCTCAGTTTTGGGGTAATTTGCTACATGGAAATAGAAAACACACACAGTCTATATCTGTATGTGTATATGTTTTATATATTCTATATGATATATTTTTAAATAGGGTTTTCTTCCCAGGATGGGATCTTACTGAACATTCTTAAAAACCAATTAATTTTAGACATGCCCAGCTGTCCCACATTTCCATAGAGGAAGGGCAGGAGAATTCTCTAAATATTCTGTGTGTTTTCCTTCAGGCCCAGCGTCCCTCGAGGTGAGGTTGGGACCATGTGACCAGCCATGGCCAATGGGCTCTGAGCAGAAGGACCATGAGTCGGCTTGCCAACACACTCAGAGGTTGCATGCCTCCTCCACAGGCCCCTCTCTGCCGTGGGACCCTGGAGGCATGTCTGTGAGGGCGGCACTAGGAGATGGGGAACCCGGCCCCCCAGTGACCCTGGAGGAGGGCCCTGACAATCCGTGTGCTGCTTGCCCTAGAGAGAAATACGCTGTAGCGCGATTAAGCTGTGAGATTTTGGAGGTTTGCTTGTTACTGCGTCACGTCACGGCCCAGCCTCTCCTGACTCGGTGCAGCAGATAACAATGGCAGTCAAAGCACCACGTTATCTGTTCTGAAGAAAGTGGAACTTTCTTCTGAAAATGCAGGTGGCCTCAGACACTCCGGGAGGCGTTCTCAATCCATTGCAACACTTTGTGGGGGAAATTGCCTGAGTCCCCCAGCTCGTCCATCTCTGCACCGGAGACTGTACGGGGTGAAGGAGGGTGTCTTAGGAAGCCACTGAGGCATCGCCAGAGCCCGCACGGGCAGCGTCAGGCACCCCAGGAGGTCATTTCACATGTTCTACAAGGACATGTTTTCAGCTCTCCAGTTTTCTAGTGGAGGAAACCAAACCTCCCAGGTGGTCAACACAGGCGTTTGCCCCACATGCCACCACCAGGTAGCCACGGGTCTCATGGGTGACTGGGAATGGGAGGGGAAGGAAGAAGCTCTTCTTTTGTGGAATCTGATCACAGGGAACCCTCTCCCGCCCGGGGCTCAGAATCTGATCACAGGGAACCCTTTCCCGCCTGGGGCTCAGAATCTGATCACAGGGAACGCTCTCCCGCCCGAGGCTCAGAATCTGATCACAGGGAACCCTCTCCCACCTGGAGCTCAAGATGGTTTCCTGCAGACCTGGAATTAAACGTCAGGCTCCTGCCTGAGTCGCCGGGACCCCCAGCCTGGCTGACCTCTTCTTGCTCTGCTGAGCTCTCTGCATGCCCCCAAGGCCCTCTCCGCCTCTGGCTCAGCCCTTAGGAAGCCCTGGCAGAGAAGCCCAGGATGGGAGAGGCAAAATGGGGAGGATGAGGTTTGCATTACCTGTAATCCTGGCCAGGCCACAGTACCTAAGTGCTCAAACATGAGCCCAGGTGTAGCTGGGAAGGTGTCCTGCAGAGGAGCTCAATATCCACAATCAGATGATCTGAAGGAGATTAGCCTCGATTTTTCTGGGAGGGACTCATCCCTTCAAAGGAAGCCCTTAAGAGTGAAAACCGAGGTTTCACTGAGAACACCTGCCTCAAGACGGTGACGTGCCCTACTGCGTGTCTCCTGCCTGCCGCCTGCCCTGCAGGTTTTGAACCCCCATGATTGCGGGATCCAATGCCTTAAAATAAATCTCTAAACATATATCCGTCTAGGTAAACCGCCTGTTGTCTAAACATATATCCGTGTATGTAAACCGCCTGTTGTCTAAACATATATCCGTGTATGTAAACCGCCTGTTGTCTAAACATATATCCGTGTATGTAAACCGCCTGTTGTCTAAACATATATCCGTGTATGTAAACCGCCTGTTGTCTAAACATATATCCGTGTATGTAAACCGCCTGTTGTCTAAACATATATCCGTGTATGTAAACCGCCTGTTGTTGTCTAAACATATATCCGTGTATGTAAACCGCCTGTTCTCTAAACGTATATCCGTGTATGTAAACCGCCTGTTGTCTAAACGTATATCCGTGTATGTAAACCGCCTGTTCTCTAAACGTATATCCGTGTATGTAAACCGCCTGTTCTCTAAACGTATATCCGTGTATGTAAACCGCCTGTTCTCTAAACATATATCCGTGTATGTAAACTGCCTGTTGTCTAAACGTATATCCGTGTATGTAAACCGTCTGTTCTCTAAACATATATATGTGTATGTAAACCGCCTATTGTCTAAATATATATACGTGTATATGAACCGCCTATTGTTTTTTTCATGTCAGGAAAGCCGGGACAAATCCCCCTGGTTCTGTTTCTCGGAAGAACGTTGCCTGTTAAGGGGGCGTTTCCACTGCCCTCCAAGGGCTTGGGACTCACTGTGTCCTTTGTGTGTGTCAGGGGTGGGGAGCGGCTCCTGTCCAGGCCTTCTTACCGACAGCTACAAGGCTTGGGTCGGCACTGGCTCCTGCCCTCCCTCTCCAGGCCTTGGGAAGACGCGGTTCTCCTGCCCGGGCTGCCCCTTGAGCACCCATCCCTCCTGGTTTCCCAAGTCTGTCCTGTTCTTGTAATTCCTTTATTAAATGCTCCTTAAGTGATTCAATTTGCATGTAACATCTATTTCCTGCCAGGCCCCTGCCTCCTGCCTGGCACTCCCCGTTCACCCCACAGCCAACTGCCATCGGGATGTGCCCAAGCCTCGCAGCAAGAGAAATCTGGAGGCCACGTTCACCGCCCCTCAGACGCAACCCCAGGGCGTCAGCAACTGGCGAGGCCTTTTAATCAAGCAAACTCAGTCCTGCACTGCACACGGCTTTTTGCTTCCTTCGTAATGGCTAGCATCCATAAGTAATCATCCAAAAGTGCAGTGTGTGAGAAAATCAGAACTGCACGGTCTACTGGGCATTCACCCCAGGTAGCGAGCTCTTAGGCTCCCGGGGGGCAAGGACAGGGAGGAGGAAGGGAGGGAGGGAGGGAGGAAGGGAGGGAAGGAGGAAGGGAGGGAGCAGCCTCCCTTGGCGCTGGGGACGGTGGCTCCATTCTCATGAGGCAGAGAGCTCTGGCTTGGGAAATTCCTGGGCTGGAGGGATTTCCTCTCCTCATCCTTGGAGGTCGTGCTTCCTCCAGAGGAATTGTGGAGCCCCTTCCTGGCTCTTCCCAGCAGGGATCCCCCTTCCCAGTGTCTCCTAGCATCCCCTGAACTGGAGAGCCTCCCCGCTACCTGGGCTGGTCGCTGTGGAAACCGTCTCACAGCTGAGGGGCTGGCTCTGCTGGAAGTGGGAAGCTGGCAGCATTTCCCTGGAGCCCGGCCCAGGGGTTTGGGGTGGGCTGAGCACTCGCCCCCAGGGCTGTGCCACACAGAGGCGGGCCTTGACTTGTTTAGAAGTTTGACATTTCGTTCATCATGAATTGTGCATTAATTTTAATTTTTAAAAGTATTACACTAAAATGTTATTGATCTTGATTTTTTTTTAGCACCCTCCCACTTAAGTTTTGCCCCAAACCAAGTGTCTGGTCCTTCCGGCTTTTTGGGACAAAGCTAGGAGCCGGGTGGAGAGAGGAGCTGGGCTTTGGGGCAGGCAGGCCTGGGCGAGCCCTGGCCAGCCCCGTGCCCCTGGGCAGTGTCCTTCGCTTCCCTGAGCCTCCTGTCCCTGACGCCGGGCAGGGCGTGGGAGGTGTGTGATGCAGTGGGGACCACGTGGCACTCGCCAGCCTCTGTGGTCACTGGAACAAGGCCGTGTCCAGAGGAGACCGACTCCCCATGAGGGCAGGCGTCAGGGCTTTCGCTCCTCACTCTGACCCTGTGTCGGTGCTTGGTGGCCCCACAGAAGCCCAGTAAACGCCAGTCACCAGGAAGGGCCCCACCCACCCATCCCAGACCCCGGAGGTCCACGGAGCAGCAGGAGGGCTGGGCAGTCCTAGCGGCACCAACGGGGCATCACAGCTCTTGTCGTCTTAGGGCCGCCGCTCTGGGCAATGTCCGGGAGGTGCCTGGGGATGGCCAAGGGCTTCTGAAGCAGGAGAGACCTGAAGGCTGGGCTGGGGCTGCAGAAGTGGCCACAGGCCAATGTCATCCCAGAAGGCCCTCCATGGGGGCACTCCTGGGGCCCGCCCAGCAGCCAGGCCCCGGGCCGAGATGCCCGGATCAGGAAAGCCCTGTGGGGTTGGAGACTTCCTCTCTGGCTCTCAGCAACACAGGAGCACGCTGTGCCCACCCACCCCAGGTGTTGGGGTCCCCAAAACCACATTTTGGGGCAACCACATTTTGGTTCCCCATGTGTTTGGAACTTGTCTGAGCATCACCTGCCTGATCCTAGATGTGCAGGACACTTTGTGCCCAGTCTCTGCAGGGTCCCCCAAACGTTGACCCTCAGGGACTTGTTCTTCCCATTTTATAAACTAAGGCAGAGCGGCTGCTCCTCACTTCTCTGCCAGGGCCAAGGGAAGGGCTTTGTCTCATCACCTACCCTGGGACAGGGGTGGTGACTGGTCGGTGACCAGGAGGCCCTGCGTGGTTTGGTGACTTGCCCACAGTCACCCATTGCAGGCCCGTGTGGAGTCCACCTCTGGCCTCTGCCCTTTGCTACATGAGATCTGTCTGTGGCAGACTCTTCTGGAAACTTGAGCCAGCGGGCCGGAGGCTGCACCCTAAACCCCCGGCTGTGCCCCTGGCAGGCAGGCGGGAGACAGCAGCAACCAGCCCATGGGCTGTGGGCATCCTCCAGCCGGTGTCCCATCTGCCCTGCAAGCAGTGCCTGGGCTCAGAGCAGCCCACAGGACACTGTCCAAGATGCGCAGACCCCGAGGGCCAGAGGGACCGGCTCTGCAGGAATCCCACCTCCTGGGCCCACTCCGCACAGAGTGTTCTGCAGGGCCTGGGAGAACCAGGCACCTGGCCAGGACAGCCTGTGGGTGGGCAGCCGTGTGCACAGATACACACACACGTCAGGGACAGACACACACACACCAGGGACACACACCACACACACCAGGGACGCACACCACACACACCAGGGACACCCACACACACCACGGACGCACACCACACACACCAGGGACACCCACACACACCAGGGACGCACACCACACACACCAGGGACCCCTGCACACACCAGGGACACACACACACACACCGGGGATGCACACCACACACACACCAGGGATGCATACCACACACACCAGGGACCCACACACACACCAGGGACCCACACACACTCCAGGGACGCACACCACACACACCAGGGACCCCCGCAAACACACACACCAGGGACACACACACACCAGGGACACACACACCACACACACACCAGGGACACACACCACACACACCAGGGACACACACCAGGGACAGACACACAAGGGATGCACACACACCAGGGACGCACAGCACACACACCAGGGACCCATACACACACCAGGGATGCACACACATCAGGGACACACAAACACCAGGGACGCACACCACACACACCAGGGACACACACCACACACACACACACCATGGACACACACACCACTGGTACACGTTGTGAACACACCATGGACACACAGAGAAACACACACAACATGGGTACACACAATACACACCACAAAGACATAACCTCCCCACACACTCACATACATAACACACATACCAGAGACACATGGTTACACACAGCACACACTCCCTCATCAGACACCCACACACCATCTCACACACACCACACACCCATCAGACACCCACACATCATCTCACACACCACACACTCACCAGACACCCACACATCATCTCACACACACCACACACCCATCAGACACCCAACATCATCTCACACACACTACACACTCACCAGACACCCACACATCATCTCGCACACACCACACACCCATCAGACACCCAACATCATCTCACAGCAGTCATATGCACAATTAGAGGTGATTTCATACATACACTCACACACCTAGCAGCACTCTCTGTCAAAATACACCCTCGCTGACATCACACCCATTCACACCCACACACACATTCTCCCATACACTCACAAGTAAGCACACTCACACCCACGCACACATCCAGGATGAGGTTTTCTCTTTAATGAGGAGCTGTGTTTCTGCTGTCACCCCTGCCCAGGTCATGCACCTGTCCAGGTTCTACGGGACCTGCCTACCTGGGCACAGGTGGGCCTGTGTGGCCTCTCTGCCTGGCCCCGGCTCTCGGGGGTGCCAGGGAGTGCCCAGTCCCGCTTCCCTGATGGGCCTGTGTGTGGTGAGCTCAGGTGAGGCCGGGGGGCAGGGCGGAGCCGGATGGGCCCATGCTGGGCATGATTCCAGCCAGGGGAGGGACACCTGTGTCCCAGCCGAGGCCCAGAGGGCAGGGGCTTGCCCATGGCCACTCAGCACCACAAGGCTCACACAGCTCCTGACACCCCACCTCACTTTTTCCTGAACACAGCCTGGGATGGGTGTCTAAAATGGGTATCTAAAAATTGGCCTTGGCCAGGTGCAGTGGGTCATGTCTGTAATCCCAGCACTTTGGAAGGCTGAGGCAGGCAGATCACCTGAGGTCGGGAGTTTGAGACCAGCCTGACCAACATGGAGAAGCCCCGTCTACTAAAAATACAAAATTAGCCAGGCGTGGTGGTGCATGCCTGTAATCCCAGCTACTCGAGAGGCTGAGGCAGGAGAATTGCTTGAACCCGGGAGGCGGAGTTTGCAGTGAGCTGAGATCACGCCATTGCCCTCCAGCCTGGGCGACAGAGCGAAACTCCGTCTCAAAAAAAAAAAAAATTGCCTTAAACCCCAGGAAAGGACTATCCGGAGTTACTTTATTCCCTGTGTCATGCCCAGCAAGGAAAGGACAGAGGAGGGTGGGCCCGTGCCCTCTGGAGGGACCCTCTCTGAGGTCCGTTCTGGGTGGCGCTCTCTCCTCTCCTACTGCGCGGGGCCTCAGGAACAAGGCTCGGGCTGTAGCTGCTGGGGCCCGGGGGTCCGTGGGTGGGAACAGTGGGCACTCTCGCTAACACTCCTGGGGCCAGCCCATGAAGAGCTCCGAGGGAGCCTTTCGAGGCCCACGCGCGTTCTGCTGTGTGCCTTTCACGTCTTAATTCCCGGTGCCCTTAGCAGGCTGCGTTCGGAGGGCTGGGCTCCCTGCCCGGGGCTTCCCTTCCTATACACACAGGGCCCCTGCCCTGGGCCCAGCCCCCAGCCTCCTTCTTTCCTGGCTCAGACGATGTCCCCGACGTCCCTGAGCCTGGCGTGACGGGGACACAAAGGCCTGGCATCCTGGATCCCTCCCTCCCTCCCTCTGCCGGCCTATTTCTCAGAGCTTTCAGTGCCTGCGTCACCGTCACCGTAGGGACTTAATGACGTTTAGCAGCTCCCGGGCGGGTGGCTTCTCGCGCTCTGCAGGGGTGACGGTGCCATTTGATTCAAGGGGGGCTCAGGAGGGGGACGGAAGTAGCACTGCACCAGCCACACATACGCTGGCTATTGGGTCCTAGTCACACCTGCTCTGCCCCCTGCCCCCTTCCCCCTCCCCAGTCCCGCGGGGTTTCTCAACAAGCCAGGGGACCACACTCTGGAGACTGAGAGCCGGTGCCTTTGTCCCATGGAGCCAGTGTTCAGTTGCTCCTTGTCCCCTCCCGGGATCCTCACTATCCACACGGCTTGTTGCTGGATAAACAACGGCTCCTTTCTTTGGAGGCTCGGGGGAGGGGGGCGGGGCCACGGTCACTGAATGGGGCTCCCACCTGCCAGAGGCGCTGGGCCCTGGACAGGAAGTGTTCTGGCAGCTGGTGTGAGTGGTGCAAACTCCACAAAAGTGTGTAGCCCAGTCCTGTTTCCCACCTGACGCTCTCTACCCGGCAGCCTCTCTCCCCACCCCAGGCACCCTCCCCTTGTTGGCACAGTTTGGGGGGCACAGATACCCAAACTGTATCTAGTTGGGGTTATGGGATGACTGTGCAGATGGCTCATGGTCACTTATGGGTACCTCACAGCTGTCCAGAACAGGAATGGCTTCCGGGAAACTGCCCCTGCACACCTGCAGGGTCAGAGGTCGTGTCCGGGCAGTTTCAAGTCCGAGGAGTTAGGAAGAGACAGGGCTTGGGAGCAGAGCCGGGGGCTCCTCTGTGGAAGGTTCTTCCAGACCCACTAGCTCATGTAAAAACAAAACAAAGCACCTCGCGGAATTCAATTATCCCAAAAATACACACGATACTATCAGTAAGAGACTTTTCTATCAATACTTAAAAGTAAATTTTGGCCAACAGTGTGTGTGGTAGAGCAGGGAAGTCCGGGAAGCCTCCAGAAGGATGGAAGGAGAAGGAGAGAAGAGGGGGTGGGCGTCTCCCGGAAGCTGGAGCCAGGCAGAGGGTGGGGAGGGGGCTTCTCCTAGCCTGTGTTCTCCTCGGCATCCCTGGTGGCTTGGGGCTGGGGAGGGACACCCAGCTCCTCCCGACCGACGTCTATGGCTTCTGGTGCTCCACTCTCCTCTCGGACAGCAGCAAACATTTAAGGTCCACAGAGCTTGTTTTCTTAAGGCCCCTTAACTTCAGCCAGTCATGGCTTCTCCAGAGGAGGGGCTGCTCTGGGACGCTGGGTGCTCCTGGTCCCCCTGCCCTCTACGTGGGTCCCCCAAGGGGCCTTGCCAAGGGGCTGGCCCAGAGCTGGGGTGCAGGGGAACAGAGCTGCCTCCACCCCCAAATTCCTGGTGGGATTTCCTGTGGAGTCTCTAAGGACCTCTGAAGTGGAAAGCTGTGGAGAGCGAGGCGTCTCTTCCTCTGGGGAAAAAGGCCTTCAGCGAGCAGAGGCAGGTGCGAGTGGCCCATGAACTTCTCCAGTGCTGGGCAAAGTGCTCACCACAGGGAGACAAACCAACCAAGCACCGAAGCCGCAATGGAACTGTCTAGAAATTAATGTGAGCTGGAGCCCATAGGAGGTCCCTGGGCAGGGTTTCTGCTTATAGGGCCCCAGGGAGTGCCGGCAGCTTCTGCAGTGTCCTCGAGTGACCACCTGCCTTGCCACACACCTGGTGTCTTTGCCCTCAAGATGGGAATGTGTGGCCTTCCATGCGAGCCGTGCACTTCTCCCTCGGGCCAGGCCATGGGTCCAGGGGGCAAGTCTGTGTGTCCGTGCCAGCCGTGCACCTCTCCCTCTGGCCAGGCCATAGGTCCAGGGGGCAGGTCCGTGCATCTGTGCCAGCCATGCACCTCTCCCTCGGGCCAGGCCATGGGTCTAGGGGGCAGGTCCGGGCGTCTGGTTCCTCCTTTCTGACCCCGCAGGTGTCCAGGGCAGTGCCCAGTGTGGCGCGTGTCAGGAATGGCTGCTCAAGTGGCTTGGGACAGATCAGATTCAGTGGCTTCTAGCTTGGCACCCACAAAAGCACACAAACAGGCAAACGAACACACAGTTTGTCTGGCCAAGTGCAGGCGGGCTGGGGAAGCGATTCCAGGGCCCTGCCGAGCAGTATCCTGGGGCCCTGCATTGGCTCAGGAGGCCCGTTCAGGCTGCCTTTGGTGGGGCCTCTGGGGCACCTCCACCCCCAGTCCCCAGAGAGGAAGTGGGGAGCGCGGGTCGCTGTCCTTGGGCGAGCACAGCCCTCTGCCCAGGCACGGCTCCTTCTTTATGGACACCCATTCCCCGTGCTTCTTAGTCCGGCTGGGGACATCATCGTCTTGGTGCTTTGGCTAACGCAGAACTAACACACCCTTGGGGCCCGGCAGCACATCCGTGAACCAGAAATCAGAAGCCCGCTCTCGGCAGCTCCGGCCCACACAGCCCACACCGGAAACCCCCAAACACCCACCCAGGCGGGACAGCCCTGACCACACACTGCTCGGCATGGCCCAGTGCAGGAGCATGGGAGGGGGCAGCGGGGACCCCATTTACACAAAACCGAAACACCGCAGGAGGCCACACCGTGAGAAGTCAGGTGGGGTGGCCTTGGCGGCTGGAAAGGGGGTTTCAGCTGCTGGTCATGGTGGGGTGCTGTGCACTATGGCACTGCACCTGCCTGCAAAGACCAGGCCGCCTCAGCTTCCCTGAAAGCTTGAGGAGGGGCAGGTGTCTGGGCCCCAACCCAAGGCCTGTGGAGTTGGAGTGAGTCCTGGGAGGGCCGGGAATAGGATTCCACCAGTGTCCGGGCATTCGTCACCTGCCACCTGGACAGGCCGTCTGCAGAGACCTCAGGTGAGGCTCATCGAATGGCCCCAGTTGACAGACCGGGAGACCGAAGCAGGGTGGTGAGGGGGCTGAGACATCCTGCTGGCCCTGGGGTGTGAGGTGACAGCTGCAGGGAGGAGTGCTTGTCTCCCGGGGGAATGGGGCCTGCAACAATTGCTAAGGGACAGGCCTGTACACAGGCACACACCACACACATGCACATAGCACACATAGGCACACACAGGCACACACGTAGGCACACACATGCATACACGTGCACACAGCATGCACACACACACACACACGGAGACCCGTGGTTTTGGTGCCTCTGGCAGGTCCTGGGGGGCCTGTACTTGCACAGTGGGAAAGCTGCTGCTTCTGGGAGGGTTAACGAGACCCCCACCGCCTTCCAGAAGGCCCCGGCGCCTGCCTCTTCTCTGCCACAGGGCAGGCGATGTGCCCTCCCTCATCGCCCCTCAAGGCAACTACCAGTAACTCCAGACAGTTCTGTTCTTTTCCAGCCCTGTGGAGCAAGGGTGCTTGGGGACAACACCTCTGCCCTGTCCCCTCCTGACTGCAGCTTCTGGGGGTGCACCGTGGTGTTAGAAGGAGACAACTCGGTCTTGGGTGGCAAAGCGCTCTCTGTGCCTGCCGGGTGGGGCCCAGGGCTCCCTGGGGTTTCGTGACCAGCAGGAGATGCTCCCCAGGCAGCTTAGGAGCCCTCTGGGCAGAGGTGCCCTGACCTCCCAGCCCCAGAAGGCACAGGCTGTGTGTTCACTGAGGGGTGGTTTCCAGCTGGCCCTGCTACAGCCTCGGGGGCTCCCCAGAAGGGCTGGCACTTCCTCTGCGCCCACTCACCCTCACCCTAGAATCAGCCGGTGGGAACCTGGGGACTGCTTCCTACTGGGCTCCAGCTTTCCTGCTCCCACCACCCAGGAGCTATGACAACAACCCTCTTGCCCACACGGTACCTCCAAGTCCTGGCCTGCCCCCCTCCCTCCCGGCCGAGGGAAAGGGTAGCACTTTTAGGAGAGACACTCGCACATTCTCAGCGTCCTTTTGGGGCATAATTGTCAACGGGGCAGAGCTCAGCCCCATTCTCTCTGGACGCAGGTGTGACCCATCCTGCACAAAACTGAGGCAAAGTCCCCCTCCCGTCACACACAGGGCAGGGCCGGGAGAGCCGCAAGTTGCTCCTCAGTCCAGGAAGGGCCAAGGGGCTTCTAGAGAAGGGGGCTCGGGACCCCCACCCCCGAGGTTGGACAGCTTTGAGGGGTCAGCAGGGAGGGCTGCCAGGAGGCTGATCTGAAGCCCCCCAGTGCCGCACAGATGGGGCACCGCCTCAGAGGCCAAAGACTCAGCACCCCCTCAGCCCACCGCCCACCTGCCCTTGAAGCCTCCTGTAGGGTTCAGGTGTGGTCAAGACAGGGACTCCCCGCTTTCATCCCCAGAGACCTCTGCAGCGGGGGGACCTCCTCCAGGTCGGAGATGCCCTGTATGTCCCTGCCCCGACTCCCCTCCTGGACACCCTTTCCTCCACGGGAGGCCCGGGCCGGTCCTGGGACACTAGCCAGGGCCACTCAACTCCAGGCCTTGCCGGACTTTCTAGAGGACATCTAGCTGACCTCCAGAGGATCACCGAGCAGGAAGGTCCCGTACCACAATCTCACTGTGGCCTCAGGCGGAACCTGACTGTCAGGCAGGCCAAGGTGGCTGCGTAACCGCAGGTTTCTCCTGGACTCCTCCTCACACAGGGCCAACCTCACCCCTCCTCCACTGTCCACAGGTGCCCCAGACACCAAAATATTCATGAAGCCCCCTGAGAAATCAAGGCAATGAGAGCGTGGGTTTCACTCCTGGCCTGGGAGTCACCGTCAGTGGCGGGTTGGGGATCTGGGACCCCGAATCTGATTCTGCTTGGGGTCTGTCTCAGAGGCAGCAGCTCCCCGACGTGCAGACCCCAGGCTTCATGCCACTCCAAGCCTGAAGGTCTTTGCCCAAAAGCAGCATGTCAGGACCTTCCTGCAGGACCTCCCTATTTAAACCACCATGCCCAGGGCTCCCGCTTTATTTTCCCTGTAGCTCCATCGCTACTGAACAGGCTTGGCTTCCTCACCTGTGTCTCTAGCGCCCACCTCCCTTCCATCAAGGGCTTTTCCCCCGAGGGCCGTGCATGGAAGGTGCTCAGCAAAGAGTTGAAGGATCATCAAGTACGAGGCTGGTGCCAGCGGGTCTTTGGTTAGGAGAATTGTCATCACTGCCTGCACTGCAGCCAGCAGCTTGCCCAGGTGTGCCTGGGACCCAGGTGTGCATGTGTGCCTGGAACCCAGGTGTGCATGTGTGCATGGGACGCAGGTGTGCCTGGGACCCAGGTGTGCATGGGACTTAGGTGCACCTGGGACCCAGGTGTCCATAGGATCCAGGTGTGTATGTGTGCATGGAACCCAGGTGTGCATGGGACCCAGGTGTGCATGTGTGCTTGGGACCCAGGTGTGCATGTGTGCATGGAACCCAGGTATGCATGGGACCCAGGTGTGCATGGGACCCAGTTGTGCATGGGACTTAGGTGTGCATGGAACCCAGGTATGCATGGGACCCAGGTATGCATGGGACTTAGGTGTGCATGGAACCCAGGTGTGCATGGGACCCAGGTGTGCATGTGTGCATGGGACCCAGGTGTGCAGGGGACTTAGGTGTGCATGGAACCCCGGTGTGCATGGGACCCAGGTGTGCATGGGACTCAGATGTGCATGGGACTTAGGTGTGCATGGAACCCAGGTATGCATGGGACTCAGTTGTGCATGCCCCTCCCCAACAGGTGCACAAGGGACCCAAGTGTGCATGGGACCCAAAACTGCTGGTGACTGGGACGGCCCTTGGCTCGTCTGCTGGTTTCACTGAGGAGAGGCTGCTGCCAGAATCCTGCGGCCAGGTCTGGGGGTGGCTGTCAGGCCATCCCCTCTGGCCCCAAGGTTGGTGGGGGTGACCTGAACCCTCGACCACTGTGCACTCTGTCATGGGAGGGCTTGAAAACCTTCAGTGCCAGCTCTGTTTGCAGCAGGCCTGATGGCTGCCATGGCTGTGTCCTCTGGCAGCGGTGATCCTAAGAAAGGGCCCTCTCAGCTGGGCACGGTGGCTCACGCCTGTAATCCCAACACTTTGGGAGGCCGAGGCAGGCGGATCACGAGGTCAAGAGATAGAGACCATCCTGGCCAACATGGTGAAACCCCATCTCTACTAAAAATACAAAAATTAGCTGGGCATGGTGGCACGCGCCTGTAGACCCAGCTACTTGGGAGGTTGAGGCAGGAGAATCTCTTGAACCCAGGAGGTGGTGGTTGCAGTGAGCCAAGATTGTACCACTGCACTCCAGCCTGACGACAGAGTGAGACTGTCTCAAAAAAAAAAAAAAACCACAAAAAAATGAAAGGGCCCTCTCAGCTGTTGGGCCGGCCTCTGCCAGGCCCTGCACCCATGACTATCTCTGCCCCTACCTGGGGCTGCTGGAGGGAGATGGCCTCCTCCTAATGCAGGGAGTGTGTCCCTCCTTGTGGAAAGGACCACGGCCTGGGGGCCATCTGGAAGTTGAGGAAGCCTTGAAGGGTGGGGGGAGGAAAGCTGGTTTCCACCCAGCGGAGATTCCGGAAACGGGAGGGTGGCGGGTGACCTTTACATAGTGGAGATGATGACTTGAATAACACCCATCACCCTGTTGCCACTGGCGGGACTTAGAAGGGGCCCTGAGCGTTCATTGGCTACCTCAGTCTCTTATGCACATGGAAACTGAGGCAAGGGGTCCATGGACACCCTTCCCGTGATC